>NC_000013.11:74014166-74165681 GCF_000001405.40 Homo sapiens
TGATTCAAATATAACTTGTACTGTGAAAACGTTCTAGAAGGGCCCTGGAACACTGTATTTCAGCAGTTGAGGCACACCAGCCCAGTGGATAGAGGACACCCCACTACCAGAATGATAGATTTGCTTATTCCATGCTAATGAAGTTTTCTTCTTCCTATGTCCTGCGTTTGTTTACTGGTAACGAATAAAACATTAAAACAGCCATTTAGAATATAAAGCACAGTAGTTCCTGCAAATGGTAAAGTTATGCTGGCTGTAGTTTAGGGTACTAAGGCTGTTATTTATAGAATAAAACCCATTATCACTACTCAAATATTGAACATGCGTAGTTTGTATTCAAAGATAAAGTTGCCACAGGGGACTATTGATATAGGAAATATGGCTGGAGAGATATGGAATGCATATTAAAATTTATATACTGAAAAGAAAGAATGTATTTAACAGGTATATTTAATATTCCAGTAGCATTGACCGCAATTGTTAAAGTTATATATGCTGACATTTCAGTTATAACCTTCTATTTTCAGTGCCTTCGCAGTTCAATCCAAAAATTTTCTGCAGGCCCAAAAGTATGTACTTTCCAAGGTCTCCGTCTGTAAAGGGCTTTTTTTGTTAATGTTCAGCAGATTGAAACTTTGAAAACCAAAGGCAAATTTGAATGTGTTTTTCCTCACAGGACCACCAAATTTTGAAATGAATAAGTAAGGATTTAACACAATGTTTTTCTAAGTAAAGCTGTGAGGTTAAGAGTTTGCCATGGTTAATTCAATAGCAAATGGTGAAGTCAGGAATCAAATCCAAGGATTGTGAATCCAAAATCTGTGCTCATAACTACTACAGTTTATTACCTTTTCATGATCATAGCTGGATAGAGGCACATTTATATATAATAAATTATATACTATTAGTATACAGTAGTATGTAATATAAACAGTAGATTATATACATCTAATTGTAAAACAATGCTAGAAAATGTTTACTCTTCTAATCTTTCTAGTATCCTGCAACTCTTACTATTACCATAGACTGATCCATGTCTAATTTATTGCTATTGTAATCCCTAGTAAACTTAAAAGGTGTATGTGTAATTCTTTGTGCAATTTCTGAAGTCTCCACTAGGTTATAAATTTGGTGAGCACAGGGTACCATAAGGCTCACTGAACTTTCTAAGACCTATTTTCTTCTAATATAAATGATGAGTAATAACAGTGCCTGTATCATAAACTGGCTAAAGGAATTAAACGAAATAATGCGAGTGCTTATCACAGTGCCCAGCACATAGGAAACACTCAGTAAATGACGATTGTTATCATTGTTATTATTACTTTTATCCACCCTAGTGCGCCCATGAGTTTCACAGGGTTGGGTGCATGAGAGAATCTCAGTAAATAATAAAAAGTCTTAAAATATTCATTAATTTAAGCAACACCCCCTAGATATACTTACATACACCCTCTCTTTCCACAGGCATAGCAATCTCTCCAACATGAATATTTGTACACTGTTCCCTCTATCTTTATAAAACACTATTACCCAACCTAATTTTAATCTGGCTAACTCCTACTTTGCCTCTAGGTTCTGACTCCCTTTCTTCCCAAGGTAGGTCTTAAACTCTGAGACTATTACGGGACTCACTTATGCTTTCATTGGACTCTCTTCTTGCCCCTAATCATCAAAGCATTTAACAACAAGCATTCTTAATATCATTGTATTTGCCTTAATACACCACCAGACTGCAAAATTCCTTAGCCAGATACTATCCTTTTATCATGGTAAAGGCATTAGAGATATGGACATAAAAGATGGACATAACAGATGTTTACTAAACATTGGTTTTTAAAAAAAGAGCAAATAAGTATGTCTATTGGAATAACTTTTCCATTATTCTCATCCTCCCTAGCAAATGTCTCACTGGATTTAGGCTTTGGTTCAATTTCTAAAATGAACCAAAAGGAAAATGACAGATAAGCCCATTAAAAAAGAAAAATGGACCAAAAACAAACAAAAAATTTGGATAAGTTCCTCCCAAGAGATAGCCAAATGGCCATTTACATGCGAAAGATATTCATTAATATGAATCATTAGGAAAATGCACATTAAAACCACCAAGAGACACCAATACACAGCCATTAGAATGGCAAAAAGACAATGTGAAGAATAAAAACAATACGGAGTATCTGGAATTCCAGATTTGGTTTGTTTGTTTTTTAAGAGACAAGGTCTTGCTCTGTCACCCAGGCTGGAGTGCAATGGCATGTGATCATAGCTCAGTGAAGCCTCAAACTCCTGGGCTCAAGCCATCCTCCCACCTCAGCCTCCTAAGTAGCTAGGAGTACAGGCATGTGCCACCATGCCCAGCTAATTTTTTAAATTTTTGGTAGAGACGAGGTCTTACTCTGTTGCCCATACTGGTCTTGACCTCCTGACCTCAAGTGTTCCTCCTGCCCTAGCCTCCCACAGTGCTGGGATTACAGGTGTAAGCCACCATGCCCTGCCTCTCATGTAGCATTGACAAATGTCTAAATGACACAGTTACTTAGGCAAACTGTTTGGCAGTGTCTACTAAAATGAAAATATACTCCTTAAGACTCAGCAATTCTACTTTTAGAAACATGCCCTACACTTTTTTGTGTACATGGTGCACCAAAAGGCACTTCTAGAAAATTCACAGTGCAGATTCCCAACTGCTGTAAACTGGAAACAATCCAAATGTCTATCATCAGTAAAATGGATGAATAAATCTGTGGAAGCTTTTTGATAAACTCATAATGGAATATTATACATCAATTTTAAAATTCATATGGACCCCCAAAATAATGTTGAGCAGAAAAGGCCGGACTCAAAACAGCACATGTACTCGTGGCATTCAGGGACAGTCGTCTATGGTGATAGGAGACAGCACAGTAGTTGACACTTGTGCAAGAGGCTGCTGGTAATGTTTTATGACTATCTGGATAAATACTGTGTGTATATCTTCATTTTGTGGGAACTCATCCATTTGTACATTTGTAATATATGCACTTCCTTGAGTGAACTACACTTTAGTCAAAAAGTGAACTAAAAATGAGCGAATAAATAAGTGCCCTCAACCTAAAAAAAAAAAAAAAAAAAAAAAAAAAAAAAAGTCAACACATAAGGTAGTTATGTGAACTTATAAGTTATGTGAATTATCTCACAAAAACTTTATGAAGTCTGAAATCCTCAGAACCAGAC
This sequence comes from Homo sapiens, assembly GCF_000001405.40. Taxonomy (NCBI): domain Eukaryota; kingdom Metazoa; phylum Chordata; class Mammalia; order Primates; family Hominidae; genus Homo; species Homo sapiens. The sequence goes on from NC_000013.11 coordinate 74,017,380, forward strand.
AAGTCATTTGATTCTATTTGAGATCTTATCTTAATCATATCTTTAACTCTTCTCTTCATTGGGAAATTCTATTTTCATCTAGTTGCTGAATACAGACTACATATACACAGGATTAACACTGCCATAAAAAGCTATAGTACGTTGGTACCAACTTTATCAAAAGAGGCCCTCCTTCCTGTCCCCCCCACCCCCCAAAAAAAAACCTTTTTAAGTGATGGTACACAGCAATAACAGGATCATTATCTTTTTCGTTACAAATAGAAAAATATGAAGGAAAAGATTTTCCTGAGATAAGTTGGCGACTGTCAAAAAAGACAGAAATGATACACACACATCTATACATGTATATGTATAATAATATTTATACATATATCTAAAGCAAACAGTCTGAGTTGAAAGAAATTGGCCAAGCTGCAGTGAAAGGCACAGAGAAGCAGGCGCCCTGGCATATCAATGATTGTCTAACCCTCCAGGGATGAACTAAAGAAAGGGGAAGAAAGCATTAGAGCAGACAGTTCCAGAGCTGTCACCAAGGAGCACTGTCATCTCTGCTAGGCTGGGAGAGTACACAGGGCATGAGATTATTCAGTGGTGCATGCCAGCTCCACTCTACCTTCCTCAATAATATCATGGAAGAATGTGATAAATTAGGATTGGAACAACCAAGGCCAGGAGAAAACTTTTGAAAATTCTTATAATTACTGCTTTTTTTTTTTTTTACTTAAAAAAATATACACACGATTCAGCCATAATAAAGAGGGAAATCCTGCCATTTGTGACAACACAGATGAATCTGTGTGACATTATTCTAAGTGAAATAAGCCAGGCACAGAAAGGCAAATACTGCATGATCTCACTCACATGTGGAATCTTAAAAAGTTGATTTCATTAGAAGTAGAGAGCAGAATGGTGGTTACCAGAAGCTGGAGTAGTTGGGGAGATGTTGGTCAAAGAATACATATTTGCAGTTAGACAGGAGAAATACATTCAAGACATCTATTGTACAGCATACTGACTTTAATTATTGATATACTGTATTCTTGAAAAATACTAAGTGACATTAAAGTGTTCTCTCCAAAAAACAGTAACTATGTGAGGTAATGCATTTGTTAATTAGCTAGATTTAACCATTCTACGGTGTATATGTACTTCAAAACATCATGTTGTAAATAATACATACAATTTTATATCAGTTAAAAAAATAAACTTGAAGAATATATACATACATAGGTAACATCTTCAATAAATGAAACTTCAATGGAATTTTACCAATTTAAATTAGTAATAATGTTTCTGCACAATGAATTATTCACTAAGGGGGTGCTCACTACTGTTGAAAAAGTATACAAAATAAATCTATATATATATAATTTCCACAAGGCAAATTAACCTTTGGAAATGGGCCACTGTTCAGATCATTCGCAAATGTAGTTTTTACTGAACATTTCTGTCTCAATGGCAATGGTGTTTCACTCCATAACGTTCAAATATTTAGGTATCATCCTAGCCTTATCATAGATGATTCAGCAAGGCCTATTACACTGAAAAGAACCCATGTTTTATCTTTTACTGATGAAAACAATCGATATCAGGCATGCTTTATTCAGCTAACAGAAATTACAAAAACTGTGTATGTATTTTTTTAAAGCTTGGAGGGGAAAAAATTTGTTTTAATTTATAATAACATATTAGAGGTCTACATTTCTGGATCAAGGGTCTTCAAATGGGGACTCACAATTGAGGCAAACTAAGTCTTATTTTAGGAACATTTACTTACATATACATAGGTAAATAAATCAAAATGTTAACTTATTATGTTTTAAATACAAATATGCAGAAATTAGGATTGGTCTTGTCTACTGAAGTTCAAGTTTTTAAGTGGTTTTACCAAAGAGGATTAACACTCAAACTTTCATTACAAAACTATATCTCTACTCCCATACTATCAACTATCCATATGAAAACTTCAAACTGAAAAGAGTTTAAGTAATTGAATGTAATTCCATTTCACTGTAACTCTCTTTGGATAAGCATATTCATTATAAATCAATACAAAATTATAGAATTATCACAGAGAAAGCAGTTTCCATTTATGCTGTTCATGCTGAAAATCAGATTTCTCTGTCAAGAAGCTTACTCATAATAGGTCTTTTTAACTTACAAGTCCCTTGCAACAAAAACTCTAACATCGTATGTTTAAATAAAAGTAGGTAGCAGATCAATATAATGTTACATCTCTTGTAATTAGATTAAAATACAATTTCTCCTTTTCCTGGAAACATCTTTTTCTTGTGGAAAATGCTCCCAATTTTAACGTTTTTAAGAGAATAAAAATGTACTCCTTTATTTCCTCAGCAAAAGCAAAATAAATTGTGCAGACTCCAAACTGCATTGAAGCCCCCTGGTCTTTTCTTTCAGGAACCTCTGTAACAGTAACATAAACTCAAGTCCATGGTCCCCGTGATCACATGCTCTCATTGCTCAGGGTCATGGCCTGGACATTAAATATAAGTGTCAGGCAGTCATAAAATCTTAACAATTTCAAAATCTTTAGGGATCAAATATAAAATGACATTATGTTGTGAGGGGACTGAAATCCCATGGCCTGTGGCCATGTCTTAAAGGTGCTTGACAAGCTGGGAAAGAAAAGAAGAAAAACCCAGTCTGCCTTAAAACAAATCATTCCTACATGGAATTTGGTTATAAAAAAGACTTTACATGTCTCATATTTATATTCACTAACGTATCTTTTCATGCAATATATACTTCAAAAAGCAATTTCAGAAATTGTTTAATAATATTTGGGTTTTTTTCCAATTACACAGTGCTCGTAAATGAAAGCAACTCCCATATAACCAAAGCATCTTAGAAAAAGCACGCAGTCCATGCCAAGGATAGAATCAAGCTCTCTCAACTCTATTCAACCTATCACAGCTGTGCTGAAGAAAGAAAACGGGTACCCTAATCACTACAGGGCAAACCCTACAAAGATGGCAGCAACACATTAATGATGCCTACCACATCTCACTCAAGGTCTTAGCACGAATAGGAAGCTTGACAAAAGGCAATGATTTAGAATGCACTCTAATTTTTAAGGAAGTCAGTGTTATGGCCAGGATCAGGAAAAATGAACCCAAGACACATGTTTTCTGAGATTTACAATCAGGTAGAAATAGAGAAGGGCAAGGAAATAATTGTTTAGACTTTTCCATAAAAATATGGAATGGAAGGCTGGGCGCAGTGGCTCACGTCTGTAATCCCAGCACTTTGGGAGGCCGAGGCGGGTGGATCACGAGGTCAGGAGATTGAGACCATTCTGGCTAACACAGTGAAACCCCGTTTCTACTAAAAACACAAAAAAATTAGCCAGGCATGATGGCGTGTGCCTGTAGTCCCAGCTACTCGGGAGGCTGAGGCAGGAGAATGGCGTGAACCCGGGAGGCGGAGCTTGCAGTGAGTGAAGATCACGCCACTGCACTCCAGCCTGGGCGACAGAGCCACACTCCGTCTCAAAAAAAAAAAAAAAGATGGAATGGGAAGGAGACACTACTGCTGACCACTTCATTCACAATTCTGAAAAAAGGACTGACAAGTCTCATGGTTTTCCATTACCATCAAGATCCAGACCCCTCGACGTCTGCTACTACACAGCTGTGCCAAAAGCAAATTCTACCTTGGAGAAAAGGTGGTTTCATGTAAAGACGGTGAAAAGGTGGTTTCACCTAAAGACCATGCCAAGAAAAAGGAGACGTCAAAAGAAAAGAAAAAAGCATTTTGAATTAAACCAAAAAGAATGATTGGTGTCATGAGAAAAATCAGTTTGATGTGTTATTAATAAGTTCATAAAATTGCTACTCACATCAGGAATGATCAGGCATTTGACTCAATAGCATTACTCCCACTTTTCTCATCAAGAAAAAAAAAAGATGCCTTACTATAATAAATCCTATTTCATTAATTCTATGTTAGTCTAGGGCAGTAAGGGTCCTGGAAGTTGGCAGTTGATTGTAATTCCATGTTTTTGAGAAACTTTCAGTAGAAGAGGCTACAAATAGGACATGATGTTCGTTTGTGACGCAGGGGATTCTGTAAAATGACTGCTGTGGAAGGGGGAACAGGGAAAAGTTTGGCAGCATAGCATAATAGATCCAGAGGAGGGTTGCATCTGGCTAGTACAGGCATGGGAGAGCTGACTGCACACATCTCTTTACAACCCCATGACTACACTTCAGTAGCTTGAAATCCATCATAGTCTGTGTATTTACATCAAGGAAGTCAGCAAATGCTACAAATAAGGGCCTTTTATTCAGGAAGTCGCTTGCCAGTATGCCACTGGTTAGTTCCAAAGGACAAATCTCACTGATAGTCTCCTATCAAGAAAATAGAAGTGCTATAATCTACCTCAAAGGATTGATAAGCAAATTAAATAAAGCAAGAGTGCTTATCAGTAGATACACAAGAACTTCGGATAGCAATGACTATGAGTGCTTTTAAGAACTGCCATCAAGCATAGATCTCAGAACCAATCTTAAAGAATTTCACCAATGATGAGGTCTCCCTAATGTGGTCTCAAAACATAGTGATGGTCATCAGGAGGGTAGTAAAGCATGTGGACAAAGCAAGGAAATGAGTGCAGGATGAAGGCGGCTTTCATTCCAAGTCATCTACATGCAAAAGACCTGCTTTAAATCTGATCTTTTTGTGTCTTAGATATTCTAAATATACTGTCATTATGAAGGAAATGGCAACAATACTAGATATTAGTCACTAGTACAGCATCAGAGGTATTAACAACATATCTCTTAGTCAATAACACCACAGGCACAACCCAAATGACAAGTCTACAAAGTACAAGGCAGACTGCAAGATGGAGAAATAGGAGCTTCTTGGAAATAATCACATAATACGGGGGCAACATTCACTGCAAACAGAATTTCAGAAAAAAACATAATTATACAGACATTTTTATGTCCTGCACAAAAATTATCTGTACTTATGTCTATACACACACATTAAGTCCCCTCTGTACAGGCTCAATGGATTATACACAACTGAAACAGCCACCAGTGGCCACAGTCTCCCACTTCTGCCACATGGCATTTTTCAAATTTTGTCTCCCACTTCTGCCACATGGCATTTTTCAAATTTTTTCCTCTCACTGGGTATCCCCTCACATCTATACTTTTGCAACCTTACACTTTCATTCTCATTTCCTTCATGTGGGCCCAAGACAGGTTTTCCCACAGAACATGCAATGGTGCAGAAAATAGGAGGGAAAAGGGTAAATCCAAAAAAAAAAAAAAAATTGACCCCCTCTCACCCCACCTGCAGCCACCTGCACCCACCTGCAGTGACCACTCCAACCCCCCCAACATATAACGTATTGGCCGCCTCCTTTGAAGATGTCTGGGAAGGCCTTGAATTATGAAAAAGAAAGAACACAGTACAGAAGAAGGTATTTTGTCATGCTGAGATCTCATCCATCCATCCACTGTGGAAAAAAAAAAAAAATCACCGGGAGCTTCAAAACTCTCTTCGACCTAACTCTCTGCATCCCTAACCAAATGGCAGGCTGCATCCCTAACCTCTGGTGTTGGGGCTCACGCATCAGTAAGTTTCAGAAGCCAACAAACTGATTCTAATGTGCACCTGGCTAGTTCTTACTCTTCCCTCTGCACTAGTGATTCTCTGCTCTAGCTGCATATTCCAAGATTCCCTTGGGAAGTTTTAAAACATACAGATGCCCAGGCCCTACCCTTAACCCACCAGATTAGAACCTCTGGGGATGGGATCCTAGTATGGAATAGCTTTCCCATAAAATGCCAAACTGAAGTGATGGTTGAAAATGAATGTTCTTCACCTACAGATGTTTGGTTTTGTTTTTGAGAATTTTCGAGAACGTTAAAAATTACTTACATGTTTGCTAAAAAACAGACTTACAGGGGAGAAACTCAGAGACCGTGTTCTTCTCTACTTATTGGCAGGTGTATTAGTTTCCTAGGGCTGCAGTAAGGAAGTAGCACATGCCAGGTGGCTTTTAAGAACAGAAATCTACTCTCTCACAGTTATGGAGGCTGAAATTCCAAAATCAAGTTGTTGGTAGGGCCACGTTCTCTCTGAAGCCTGTAGAGCAGAATCTGTTCCATGCCTTTCTCTGAGTTTCTGGTGGTTCCAATAATCGCTGGTATTCCTTGGCCTGTAAATATATCACTCCAATCTCTGCCTCTGTGACATGGTGCTCTCCCTATGTGTGTGTCTTCTTAGAAGGACACAGCCATATTGGATTAAAGGCCACTCTACTCTAGGATGACCTCATCTTAATTCATTACATTGGCAACAACTCTAATTCCAAATGAGATCACATTCTGAGGTCCCAAAAAGGACATGAATTTTGTGGGGACACTAACCCAGGAACTAACTAGCAGGAAAGGGGGCTGATAGCTACTATGGCCAGAGCATCAGCTGTTCATTGTGAAGAGGTAGCAGATTAAGCAAGTTTCTGGTGATCTTGAAGAAAAGGGGCATGTGAAATACAGCTAGGGTTAAGACAGTTCCTAAGAGATCAAAGTGCAAAGAGATTCCAACCCCTAACAGTTTTATCACCACCAGTGCACTGGAGCCCCACTGCAACTCCTAGCCTCTGAAATATCAAGTTGTGTATGGCTTATAACTTTCAAATCCATATTTATACTGTCAGAGCTACAGCAATGCCCCTAAAAATTCATACGAAAACTCAAAACATTTTCCAATAGATACACTGTCATATACAGGGTTATCACATAATGGCAGTACCATATTCTAATTTGGGGGATACTGTAGAAGAAATAAGCTTTGTGGAATTAACCACACCTCACAGACAGATACATAATCATCAACTATATTTCAGGAGAAAATACATTCTCAATTCCAACTTCATGCTCTAACAAATATCCAACAAAATAGTAAATTCTCCATGGCTTACCAGCTTAGTTGCCCATCTAATGGTTTATGTATTTGATTGTACTCACTATATAGTTAATACAGAACATTTGTTTCCAATTTAAAAAATGAGTATACGCATCATTCTGTCATGCTCAAGAACTTATTTTTGATACACTAAGAGCCCTTAACAGTAACAGCAGCAATCAGCTGGACCACTGCCGAGAGAGGGCAGGCATGCACACACAATGAACACGTGGAGTGAAAATATTTTTCACCAAAATAGTAATTCCATAGGTACAAATTAGTTAGGCCACTGATATTTGTGTCTTCTTCAGCTTCAAGTATCCTATAAAATAATTGACAATATTAACGAGTCTGTATTATTCATTTAAATATTACTTTAAGAGAGATAGGCAACATCATTTGTGGAAGCCACATTTTGTTTCTATATATGCAAATGCACTTGAGGGGGAAAAAGTCTCTCTAAAACATAGGAAATTAGGAGAAACTCCAAGTAATCTAACAGATTTTCACTTATTTCAGCTTTAATATACTTCAAATATTTGATACTCTACAGAAACCACCCACCTCTTCCCTGACACTTTTCAAACTTTAACCACCCACTGTTTTCCTAACTATGTTAAGTTCTCAACATAAATAAGCCAATGGAATCTCCCTTTATAACCAGCTCAGAGAGAAAAAAAATCTCTTCTATTTACTAAGCTGACAGGTACTTTGATCTCTCACAGACTCATTCAGGTAACAATGTACATATGACAGAGTTTAAAGAAAGCAAACTCCTTTGGAAATTTAAAGTGTCTTAGAAGTCATGAACAAATGCAAATAAACTGAAAATGCAAAGGGGCTGTATCTCTATCACTTGCCTTTGCTTACTTTGTTTGACAGCTATGTTTCAAAGTGCAAGCAAGGAAATAAATCCTTCAATTTGGCTGTGATACTTGGAAAGAAGCTTAAAGCAGTTTAATAACAGCAGTAAGATTAAACCATAATTCTACAAAAAAAAAAAAAATCCAAAAGGTGGCAAAAGGAAGTGCCTTTATGCAAATGTCATTGCTTCCCAACTACTTCTATTTTCTAAGGGAAGAAGTCTCTGTTGCTAATCGACTCATAAAGTGTCTGAATATATCTGATGCTCACTACTGCTATAGCTTCAAGGTCATTTTAAGGTTCTTAGTTTCGCTACAAGTGGGTTGTGAACATTAGTGAGTTACACATGTTGGACACTTTGGTTTGTTCAGAGTTAAAAAAAAAAAAAAGAAAATCAGTGAGTAGTCTAAACAGATGCAAGAGTTCTGGCACTCCACTGCATAGGACATAATCATCATTTACTAACATATACTGAGGTAAGAAAGGTACCCAAGGGAATTTAGAACTGTCCAGGTTTATATACTGCCTTTTTATAAACAGTCACTGTCGTAAATATAATGTAGATTATATTGATGAATAAAGTAAATGAAACACATTTGACTGACTGGATGACATTACCAAATGACTGCAGATATAGCTAAATGATGAGCCCAGGTAGATACAAAGGCATCTTAACTTCCTCCGACTTGACAACTGTCAGATAACCACCTCTCTAGAGTCCCCATAACAGGCTGAAAACATTATTTGGTAAAATGCAAACAATTAAATAATTTGGATTTGCTAAGATTTCTCTAGTGAAACAGTTGAGTTTTGGGTACCCTAACTCACAAACTTGACATTATTAATCATCATAATTTATGCCAATTATGGATACAATGTGAAATGTCAATTTCCTATTTTTATTATAAAGATCGATTGCACATGGATTGCAAATTCATTACATGAAAAAATTAACTCAAGATTTTGAAGAAAAAAAAAAAAAACCTTTACCTTGGAGGAAAACTGGGTTCAAAAACTTAGCAATACTTCAAGTACCAAAATATATGTGTAGAAAAATAAAGAGGGATGGAAGAGGAAAAAAATCAGTTATTTCATTTCCAAAAAAGTGAAATATCTGCAAATCAACCTCTTTTTAGTTGCATGCTTCTCTAATAGAACTGTATGTAATTCCTTTATGTAAAGCCTAACTTATATAGTGAAAAAACATCACCTTGTATTATACATTTAAAAATGGTTAAACTAAAATTTTAAGTTGTATTTCACAATTTAAAAAGAAAATTAAAATAGTGATATTTAAGGTTCTTCTATTACAAAATAAGGAAGGAACAGTTTTCATCTTTGTAAGTTACATATGCATGCACATATTTCCATGTTAGATACAGTTACATGACAATATATAATGTTTTAAAAAGGGTTAAAATAGTACATTTCTGTTACATGTATTTTACTATAATTAAAAACAACAAATACCTGATTTGGATTCAAATATCAGTATCATTCACCTTGATTTCTATCCAGGGTAATCTGAAAAACATCGATTCTAACCTTCTGTAATTTGTGTTCTAGAATCTACTTACATCAATCTTTAAATTTTTTGACCACTCTACCTCAGTCCCACAGGAGACCAAAAGGTAGGAAAAAGATTCCAGGGCCCCATTTGTGCTTCAAGTCGATCAGCTAGTCCCACGGTGAAGTCAGGTGCCCTGATACAGCTTTTCAGGTCTTTTCCTGTGTGAATCACCACCTAGAAAAGTCAGGGGCCTGCCTTTGGTTTCTAACAGGAAATGGTGCCACTGAAGTGCAAATTCACACGGTGGGGAAGCTGCAGGGCTGGAGCAACAGCAGAGCAGAAAGAGCCAGCAAGTTAGACAGTGTTTCTCTTAAAAATAGAGTAGAATAAAGAAGCAGAATAGAAAAGAACAATGGGAAAGAGATGCAGAATTAGTTTGACCTAAAATACGAATCAACTGCTTATCAATAAGCCTTAAAAAACAACCTACCTTACAGCTTGCCTGAGAATTTGTGAAGAAATACGAAGGCAATGAGAACTCAAAGTGTAAAGCTACTTCTTTCATATCTCCATGTCTTCTTCTCTAACTGTCTTCTTTTCTCTGTAGTTCTCACACTTCCCCCTCTCCCTTTTTTCATCATCTAATTCTACAGCTCAAAGAAATCCCCCCACTTCGCGATGTCTGTTCATTCAACATGCATACATTTTGTCTTGGGAGCGGGGGGAGAGGGGTAGGTATGAGTGGCATATATAATTGTTTTTAAAATACTAGGGTCTGTTCTATAAATGAAGCAAAAGCAAGCTAAGGAGGAAGACAGAGTATAGTCACCTTTAATAGTAAAACTCAATTAGGCTTTAACAGTAAAACTGAAGATAAAGGTTCCACTCAGGCTATTTATAAATACCCTTAAAACCAAAAACAGTGGTTTCTAATTCTACATGTAGTGACTTGGGCTTCAGATACTTAAGAGTTTAAAGTAGATGGCACATTAAGAAATCAGCAATTGAATCTACAAGATGGAAATACATTTTAAAGTTTTTTGGCCTCTTTTTTCTTTTTTACTTCAAAAACTTTAAAATTTTCCCATAAGAGTTTCAATTGTGACCATACACATTCTTCACATAAAAAGTCAACAAGATGCATTAAAGAGTCTTTTTAATTTAGTTTCAACGTGTGCTTTATTATAACTGTACTACCAATTCCAAATTATTTCATCACGATTACCCACTTTAATCCAAAACAGTATGTCAACAATTATTTCTGTCCCTTGTAAAGAAAGAAGAAGAAAAAAATGAGATATCACTTAACATTGATTGAATTGGCCAATTTAATAGCCATTATATCCATTGCTAGAAAGTGGCAGGAAGAACCTTATTTATAGGTTGCCTCTGGCAATACCAACTATCAGAACTCCTTTGAAAGGCACTTTCCTTTCAAGAGTCAAAAGCACGTTGATAGTCTTTGACCCAGTGATAACATTCCTAGATTAATCCTACAACAACAAAAAAAGGAAAAACTGTAAGTATAAAAAGTGCATGGAAACACGATTTATAATCTAAAAACTGGAAATAATTTATTACGAGGAAATAGCTGATTTAATTATGGTTGAAAACTGTAATGGACTAGCATGCTGCTATTATAAACTACATTTAAGAAAAATGGAAAAAAGAGCTTATTTTGCAATATTAAGTTAAAATGACCTGCGTATGCAGAATAATTAGTAAAGTATACAAAAACTTCTATCAAGTAAATGTGGTGGTTTCACTAGAAATATTTAGCTTAATTTGTATTACTGTCATAATTTCATAACGTTTTTCTAAGTACTTATAGCTACAATATATATACATATTTTATAATCCCTAATATTTTTAAACATTAAAGTAGATTCCAAATGGCAATATTTATTGAAAGACTATAAGGATTAGTAAGGTCATATCTAGAAGTTCTCTTACTATGATAAATATAAGAAACATGGCTCTTATGAGGAAAATGCTTCAAGTTTTAAAATGTTTACATTAGTAAGATTTTATAATGCATCTAGGTGCAGCAGAGAGTTACAATGTGTAAGAGAAGGAAGACAAGGGAATCACATCATTTTATAAGTTTAAATTAATATAAGAAAAAGAGAAAGAATTTTCAATTTTTTTAAAGGGGCATACCTTATATGATCAATTAAAAAGATCTAGAGAAATAGCAGTAAAAACATATGATATTAAAAAAGGTTTGCAGTTATCACTATTAATAGTTAATATTTACCATTGAGTACTAACTTCCAGATGCCCTGCCAGATAGTTTACATAGTTCCCTTTTACATAATTCTCAGTACCACATTACCAAGTAGGTAATTTTGGTAACCGTTTATTTTATAAATGAGGAAAGTGAATCTCAAGTTAAAAACATAACTTGCCCAAAAGATTACATGGAGGATATCTAATCAATAATAAACAGTGGGACTAAGACCAACCAAGTACCGATCCTCTATTGCCTACCATTCCCAAATACCAGTCTTTAAAAAGAAAGGGATTTATAAATCATATAAAACCAGCACTTTTATTTCTATTTCTTCATATAAATGTTCTAGATCTGCTTTTCCTCAGTTGTTTTTTTATCTGTTGTTGAAATGCAGGATTTGTTAAAGTATATGTCAAGAAAATTTCACCATGATTGGTCAACTACTTAGTTTTCAACGTTTCCCATTAAATGTTTCCAAGTAAATTAAAATTTTAAGTTTAAGATCATAAAATTGGTACAGGCATGTTATCTGGTCATATTTCTATTTAAGTCAGACTTAACTACACCAGGAATAATTTGGTAGAATATACTGGATCACATAAATCTTTACGGTTCTCTGTAGTGTTTAAGTCACCAGTGATTTCTAAGGTAAGTATTTAGGAACCCTATTAACGGGTTTAGGCATCCAGGGTACCTAGTATCACTCTTACAGTTTGTTCCCAGGCATTTCTCAACAAGTCTCATTCTATACATCAGGATAAGTCTGGCCCCTAGAAAGGACCTTGCTTTCTAGCATAAATAACACCTAAGGACCTCCTAGGCAGTTAGCTCCCTTCCTAAATCAAATGTTTGGTTCCCTATGAGTTAAGTTTCATAACTTAATCTCCTAAGAACACTGCTTATCAAATCTTACCTCTGACCTATAGTTAAGTGCATATCCAGAGCCAGGCACAAGGAAGCTGAAGTGAAAAAGTATGGAAAGGAAGGAGAGTTGAGGCCACAGGAAGAGCCTGATTCACTCCACAGATGCCTCTAAATTACTTAAAGTTCTGTATTTTCTTATAAGTATATGTGAATTTCCTCCATAAAACTCCACAGTAGATCATTTCATAGCACATTAAAAAATTTTTAAGTGACTATTTGTCTTGAATTATCTGAGAACACTGATAGCCAAATATAAAAGTCAAAATGTCCTTAGAGATTTGAACCTCCAGGCTAAAATAAAAGTCATGGATAGGAATGGAGTGGGAGCATATTTTGTTTTAGCCAGTATGGTAGCCAGGACTCACTAGAAGAAAACAAATGAGAAGATTACCAAAAACAGAGCCCATTGACAATAGAGAGACTACCTCTTTCGGACAAAGCAAAGAACAGTCAGGAAAGAAGCTGTTAGAGAAGAGCAGAGCAGGAGCACACACTCTGCCCAATGTTACACGTTATTGCCTCTCTTTTCCTATTCCTGATTCAGACTCTGTGTCTATTACTGCCAATATATGGTCATTAGACATCAACTTCTTTCATTAGAAAAGAGGATATTTCACCCTACCTTAAGATGGGCCTTAATTAAATTTCTAAATACCTAGATGAAGATGTCTGAACACCTCTACTGTTTCAGAAAAAAACCTTCCTGTCCTTTCCTCCCACGCTCTCTCTCATTTTGGCCCCCATCCAAGAGAAAATAATTATATGGCACAGATAATATTTAAGCCAATTAGTATCACTTCTTAGAAGCCTATAGCAAACAATAAAGGATGCATTTATATGTTAATACAAGCCACAAAAGTAGCATTCTGCCATGTTCCTATTTCATTTCAGGGTGACATTTAAGATAGCATCTTACTTCACAAGATTTAGCTCATTACAATCACAAATTTTGACTCTTGATGTACCCCCTTGACATGAGGAAACTGTCAAGGTAAAGATCTTGACTAATATCAGAGGTAGAAACAAGTGGTTAAACTAAGACTCAAGCTATAATTTCTCTAATCCTAAACTTCATTTTGAACGGCTGCACTATACTGAAGATTATTAAAGTCTACTTCCTACTCTTTATAATATCTACAAGGTACTATATATTTTTAAAATACAAATATGCACAAGGCACTGTGCTATATCTCGAACTACAAAGATTATATAAACAGTCCAAGACTCAGTAGATTCACAGACTCAGCCATTTGCTATTTCTTCTAGATGGAAACCTTCCTTGGACCATCAAAGCCCATCTTTTTGCTCTTTGGAAATTTGGAAATTCTCCATAATGTCTTCCTTGACTAAGTCTCCTCTAGCAATACTATTGACTTTATATGTGATTTAAAATTCATTCATGCAATTTCTTGTGATTGGATGGCTTCATAAATTAGATTTACACTCAACAAACAGACTGTGTCTTCTGCTTTGTTCTGAATTACCAGTTCTACCAACAATATGCTATATGTTGAGTGAAGTAGACAAAATCAGTTTGACAAGGGGGCAATCTCAGGTACACAGAACTAGATAAATCTTAACTCTAGGTTTATGAGAAATTATCATCATGTCTCTTTTATTTTATTTAGAGGAGGTGTATGTTACTGGTAATAACTTAACTCTTTGGTAGGGCACTACTTCAAATTTTAAAAAGATGTGATTTAAATCATTACTATTAAAGAGATGTAATCTTGTACCAAACCAGACTTTTTTTATATGTACCGTTAACATACCGCCTTCTTCCATCTACAAGCAGTGCATTATAAAACAACTCAAATAACTAAAATAGTTAATATCATGATAGATATTCCATGTTGCATAGATTAAAAGATAAAGTTACTTGAAAGATTAAATTAACTTATGATTTAGTGTTCCACGTGATTCTTTTCCAACAAATACAAATCTGAAAAAAAATGTGCTTCTCAATTTTCATTCAGTTATAAATATGTATTTCAAAGATGCAATAGGCTACTCTAAATGTCGGGCTAAGCAACTAATTAGGTCTTCATCTTCCTCTCTCTATTAATTATTTTAGGTAAATAGGAATAATCTCATTTGGGAATTATTATAAGAGAAATTCCTTCACTGAGGTGGGAAGCTAGGCTACACCATGTCCAAAGCCCCACCCAAGGCAGAGTTTCTTAATTAAGAACTCTGTTCACAAGCGTACAGAGGCCTCCTCACACTAATCAAGTTCATCATTTTTCACGTAAAAATCCATGGAATGTTGTTGGTGCACTATAAAAATACAGTTTGGAAAGTGAAAATAAAACCTACGATATGTAGTAGGAGCTTCCAAATCTGTTAGGCACAGACTTGATCATAGGACTCTCCTTAACATTTCTAACAGAAACTGAAGAAGAACTTGTAGTAAACCAATATAATAACTAAGCCTTGTAGAAGGCCTTCAAATACTTTCTTATATGTATCTAGATAATTGCATCTAGATACATTTATGTAGCCGCATAAATGCTTCACAGTGGGAGCTCTCCATAGTCTGGTCTCACTTTACTTTAATTCCTATGTCTTCAGGAAAACCAGCCAAAACCTTACTGAACTGTACATTTCCAAGCTGCTCATTCTTGTATCTGCTACTTGCTCAGGCTATTTTGCCTACAGAACGTGTTCTACTTTCAGTCACTACCTACCCAGCGTTCAGTGTCAACTCAACGCTTGCTTTCTCCATGTATCTTCTCTATGACACATGAGTATTATTCAACCTTAACCATCTTATATACAACCCCATTCTCATGACCCAGGCCTCTCTCTATATTTTCATCTGAACTTTGTAATTTACCACCTGATCATATAACTATCTTAAATACAGATTACCTCTTCCTGAAGTTTTGTATCTACACCTACAGCATTAATTCTACATCTTATACTTCTTCTTTGCTGCTGGCAGTGCTTGGTATTCAGTAAATACTTGATGGCTGACCAATAAAAAGAAAATCACCTCTATACTAATATTTTAATTTTCCAAAAAGTATTTAAAATTTTAAACAGAAATATGTGTTTAATGTTCAATTGCTTTTATTCTTTAAAACTCCATTTCTCTGTATCTACCCTAACAGCTACCTCCACAAACGTCACTTACTAATTTCCTAATAATGCCCCATGGGTGTTATAAAAAATGCCAATTAAATATGCTATTTCTTTTTCTCCATCTTTTCCTCTTGAAATAAAACGTGACATGTACTGTATACAAATTAAAACCAGTGCTGCCTGCCCTTCTTATATAATAAAAACATTAAGAAATGAAAACACCATTGCTTTTATTTCCTCTTAAGAAAAGTACAGGCTAAAACTCTCAGACTCTGCAAAAAGTATAAATAAGAAAGTTGAGATCCCTTGAAGTTCTACAACTAACAGGATACATTGTTACTCTATTTGGTGTATGCCCTTTTATTATACATGCACATACACAAATGTACAAATTCTGAAGCTGATCCTTAAAACCTGGCTCCACACTTCCAACTGGTGTGACCTGGAGTTATTTAGCCCCCTGTTATTTCTGTTAACTAATCTATAAGATAGGGCTAATAATATTTACTCAAAGGAATGTTATAATTAAATGAGATAATCAACATAAAGCACTTAGCCTAGTATCTAACACACAAGTGTTCAACATGTTACTATAGATCCTTGACACAAATGCTATTTTGTAATCTACTTCCTAGATTACTTAATATTTCATAGACAAACTTCCATAGCAAAGAATTCAAAAAGACTTTTGTTTTGAATGGCAGCTTAGTGTTCCTTCTATCAATGTGCCACATTTATGTAACTATCTCCCTATTACACATTTTGATTGCTTCGCAACTTTTAATTATAATAATCTGATGAGAATAATTGTAGCTAAATCTTTACACATACTCATAATTATATTTTTGGAATATATTCCTAGAAGTAAAATTTCTGGGTCATAGGGTAATCAGATTATAAATGGTTAGGCATACAGAAAGTATACATTCACACGTTTCATCAGTGCATATATATGTGTAGTTATTACAGTTTCTTCCATATGGCCATCTTTTTAATCTTACCCAAGCTGAAAGCCAAAAAAAAAAAAAGGCACTGTTTTAATTTATATTTCTTGGACTACCAGTGACATTAAACATCAACTCATCTGTTTACTGGTCATTTACGCATTCACTTTTTTTGTTTTGTTTTGTTTTTGTTTTTTGAGACAGAGTCTCGCTCTGTCACCCAGGCTTTAGTGCAATGACGGGATCTCAGCTCACTGCAACCTCTGCCTCCCAGGTTCAAGCAATTTTCCTGCCTCAGCCTCCCAAGTAGCTGGGATTAGAGGCACCCACCACCATGCCTGGCGAATTTTTTGTATTTTTTTTTTAGTAGAGATGGGTTTTCGCCATGTTGGCCAGGCTGGTCTTGAACTCCTTACCTCAGGTGATTCACCTGCCTTGGCCTCCCAAAGTGCTGGGATTACAGGCATGAGCCACCACACCCGGCCCATTTATGCATTCTCTTGTGAAATCCCAGTTCAAATATTTTCCCATCTTTATATTGGGCAGCTGCTGCCTTACTTTATTTAAGAGGTTTCTTCATGAAAAATATTTTCACTGTCATATATGTTGTAAATGGTTTTTACCACTTTATAGTTCGCCATTTAAACTGACAAAACTTTTATTATAAAAGTGTTTGAAGTAGTCAAATTCCAACTTACAATTTCTAGATTTGGAGTCACCATTCAGAAAGTTCTTCTCTATTCCAGATTTACAAAGATATTCACTTAAATCCTATTTTAGTACCTTTTGTCTATTACTCTGATTCGGGTTTTATGAAGCAAAGTATTAGGGAGATACATCTGAAATCTTAGAGCATTATTTCTGAAAATATCTCAGGTTGGACAAAGCATAATGCCTAGGCAAACTGCTGTATTAAGATGCTATAGAAGAGGATTTGTCTAAGCTTCCAAGGTAGAATACTATAAAAAGGCCCATCATATACACTGGCTTAATAGCTGTCACTATTTTTAGCAATTAATTTTTATCCCAACCCATATACCTCTGTTCTGATTTCCAGGCCTTTTTATCCCATAGCTTACCTCACATCTGTAGTCAAATATTACTTCCTCAAGGGAACACAGCCTCACCAGTTTCCTGTTATATGCTAGCCTAGAATTTTTCCCTTTATTCAACAGCAGCTCTCGGGTGGAAGTGATACATATATACAGTAATCCCTCAGTATTTGCGGTTATTGGTTCTAGGACTCCCACCACAAATCAAAATCCAAAGATGCTTGAGCCCATTATGTAAAACAGTAGCATGTAGTATTTGCATATAACCTATGCATATCCTCCCATATACTTTAAATCATCTCTAGATTACATATAATGCCTAATACAATGCAGATGCTACATACATAGTTGTGCTGTATTTTTAAATTTATGTTGTCTTTCTTTTAATATTTTCAATTTCGGTTGGTGGAATTTGTGGATGAGAAACCCTTGGAAACAGAGGGTTGACTCAATTTATATTAATGTGGTTATCTGCACCACTGCAAGAATGATGATTATTTTTGATCCCCATTGCAGGAGCTGGCATCCAAATAGGTGCTCGATAAATATGTCTCAAAAGAAAGGAGGAAGAAAAATTCATAGTACATTTTTT
Organism: Homo sapiens; assembly: GCF_000001405.40. Classification (NCBI taxonomy): domain Eukaryota; kingdom Metazoa; phylum Chordata; class Mammalia; order Primates; family Hominidae; genus Homo; species Homo sapiens. The sequence continues at coordinate 74,035,528 of NC_000013.11, forward strand.
TGTTTTGTTCTCATTTGTTTGTTTTTAAATGTGATGTCTGAATGAAGCCAAACAAAAAGCTGGTACTACCCAGTTCTTTAGAAGTAATCTTTCTCTCACAAATTTTTAGAAAAGCTGAAGAGAATCATAATCATTCTAAAAATTCATTTCTGAGGGGTTGAAAGGGGAATGAATTTTTCATCCTAAAATGATCTGCTGTCATTTCATATCCTTAAAAATGGGTAAGTATCAGCATCTCTTCAGACGCTCTTCAGTTTTAAATTGTACACAAATTTTTAAAATTTTGATTTCTAAGACTGGTAATTTGAGAGTAACAATTCAAATCTCTATAGGATTTTGCAATTTAGAAAGCTTTTTTACTTTTCTATAAACATTTTATTTACTATTCATAACTTTAATGTGACATGGGAGTTAATAGGGAAGAACCTCATCTTAAATTAACAGGTCTAGTGGTAGAAGGACTTGAACCCAGGATGTCTGACCGGTCCAGTGCACTCATTAACCAGCCAGCCACGGCCACATCCCCAGCTCCTGCCTCAGAATGCTCCTATACACTCCTATCCGCAAGGCCTAGCATTCATCAGCTCCTTGTGAACCATCTGACACCACCCACTCTCTAAGTCTTCACAGATTTTCCTCAGACCATTTCCATACTTTCAACAATGTATCCTCTCCATACTTAAATATTCCATGGCCTATTTTGCATTGCTGGTAAATCTCCTTTTCTCCCACTTGCAGATAAATCCTCTGAAGAGACTCTTAGTTCTTCAAAGAACGACCTTAACTTCCCACGGTACCTAATATAAGAGTTAAAAATTGATTGTTAATAAACTGGAACAGGGAGGCTATGTACCAAAAAAATGAAAAACAAGCTATTTTTAAAGGCCTTGCCTGACACTCACCCAGACTCATTGTCCCCACGCCCACCCACAGGCTCCCAGATCCCCACACAGTGCACGCACAAACACATGAACACCACCAGCAGGAACACAGCATTCCCAAGAAGGTTTTTCAACCTGAGGATGTGGTAAGATTTTTCTATCCAGATGACAGAGGAGTGTGGCCTGGAGGCTTTTCTTTGCAAAACAGGTTTTTCTTGCTGGCTTCTGCCCTAACAGACATTCACTTTGCATATCCCTGTGGTGGGACAGGAGGCAGGGTAGAAAAAGAAGTCAGCAGAAGATGGTGATGAAATTCCCAAGGAAGTTCCATTAACCTGATCTTCCAGCACAATGAAATGTGAAAGAATAAGACAGGGAAGAGGATGTAGAAAAAGTGCCTTCTGTTTTATGCCAACAAGACAGCTCTCATTTTGATAAATTTATAAACCAAGTGTAAACTTGACCATGTTGTCTGTTTTTATCTTGGTCACATAAGCGTAAAAGATTTTCTTTTGGGCCAGGAGCCGTGGCTCACGCCTGTAATCCCAGCACTTTGGGAGGCCGAGGCAGGTGGATCACGAGGTCAGGAGTTCAAGACCAGCCTGGCCAAGATGGTGAAACCCCGTCTCTACTGAAAATAAAAAAATTAGCCAGGCATGGTGGTGGGCGCCTGTAATCTCAGCTATTCGGGAGGCTGAGGCAGAGAACTGCTTGAACCTGGGAGGCGGAGGTTGCAGTGAGCCGAGATCACGCCATTGCACTCCAGCCAAGGCAACAGAGCAAGACTCCGTCTCCAAAAAAAAAAAAAAAAAAACTTTTCTTTCTGGAAAATGTGAACTATTTCCTGAAAGAAAAACATACAAAAGCACCTGTTTTTTCCCTTCTAGATCAGAAGTTTCCACCTTGCTTACATAAACATGGATCACTGTATCTGCAACCCAGCCTGCAGTATGTCGGAAGGGACGGATTCCCTTACAATACACACTCACCCATTTAGACCCCCCATGCCTACCACATGCATCCATCTTTACAACCTCAATTATGCACAAGACATCCACAGCCGCCAATTAAACCGTGTTGAACACTCCAATTCATTGCGTATGAGCCTGCAAATTTTTTTTGCTCACAGAAGCATTTTCTAAGATGCACTTGTCAATTTTTAGCTCATTAATACTGTGGATCCCAATTTTTAGCATTCTACTTAAGTTTTGCAACTTGATACATTTTCTGGATAATGAACACAACATGTGGTCTCTAAGTTCTGATTAATAGGAGTGGACTCCCATTATGATAATGTTGACAATTCATTACTCTAGGAAAGCCAACTTTAAGATAATTTTTTTAAACAGAAAATGTGTAAACTGATCATGGATGAGGGATGATCTGTGGACTGGGCAATGAATACAGATAAAATCACTGCTGCTGTCTCTTAATAACAGAAACATCTTATAGTTCTTCATGCCATAGTTAATGCAGAAGCTAATGTAAAGCACAAGGTCAGGATGATTAAAATCCTGTTATGAGGGGTCAGGGTTAGCTACAAAACAGTAGCACAGGAAGCCTTGTGGGCATGGAACCCCACATACACAAGATCTGTTATCTTGATTCTGGTGGTAGCCATGCAAATCAATACATGTGATAAAACTGCCTAGAACTGATACAAAGGACACACAAATGAGTGCATGTAAAGTCAGTGATCCTGAAGAAGATCTGTGGATTATACCAATGTCAATTTCTTAGTTTTGGCACTGTATTACGTCATGTAAGATGCTACCAGTGGGGAAAACTGGTAGGGAGGAGACAAGGAATCTCCTGTGTCTGAGGAATGGGAGGGGGAATTCCTGTGAACTTATAACTATTCAAAATAATTTTTTCAAAAAGGCTGTCAGTTGCAAACACTGTTAGACATACATGCATTCAGTCAATCATGTATTCATTCAACCAACATTTATTAACCACATACTGCTGCCTAGCATTGCTCTACATGCTGGGGCTACAGACACAACATGATATGATCTTTGATCTGGAAGAACTCACAGCCTGGTCATCCACGACAAAAAGCAGTGCAGGAGGGAAGAGAAGGTACAATCGTACTCGACATGGAGAACAGACAGACATGAACACCTGAAGTTGATCCATATATATTATAGTCCAGCTCCACATTAAAGCAAATGTATTTGTCAATCACCATTCCATTCACAAATGACTATAAACGACTAGTATAAAATGAACATATTAACCTAAGGTTCCCATCATTAAAATATCAACCCTGTGGAGAAATTTTTGCTGAAGTTATTTCTAACTTCAGGACAAAGAAATGTTCAGTTAAAGTAAGTTGACTGCTTTTGTAAGAAAGGGGGTTGTGTTTGACTTCAAAAGCTCAGTATTTCTTTTAAATTCCTTTTTAAGATACATCTTTGGAAATGTTATTAAAATTGTTCAAGCTAAATTTACAGCTTAGTTTAAAACATGTAAAACTTAGGGACGATAACATCCCAGGGGAAAAAAAAATGCTTTATGCTATTAGAATTTGAATATCTATAACTAGCAAAAAAAAAATTAACCTCGAATAGCCATTACTATTTTTTTAATACAGCTATGGATTCACTTTGCACAATATGTGTGTTCCTGGAAAGGTTTTGTAAAAGCAGACGATTTCATTTTAAATTCATTTTAAATTAATATTTTATTTACGCATTTTTTTCCTTTGCTTCTAATTAATTTCAATTAACAGTATCCTGGTATTTTAATTTATTAGTCTCTCTGCCAAGTTGGTCTAATCAGATCTTTGGGTTCCCTATCCTAACATTACATCTGAAAAATGCTACATTAAGACAATATAATTCTCAGCTGGGCACAGTGGCTCTTACCTGTAATCTTAGTACTTTGAGAGGCTGAAGCAGGAGGAGTGCTTGAGTTCAGTTTGAGACCAGCCTGGGCAACACAGCAAGACCCCATCTCTACCAAAAGAAAAAATAGCCAGGCAAGTTGGCATATGCCCGTAGTCCCAGCTACTTGGGAAGCTGAGATGGAAGGACTGCTTGAGCCAGGTGAAGCCAGTGAGCTTTTCAGTCTCACACCACCATACTCCAGCCTGGGCAACACAACGAGACCCCATCTCCAAAGAAATAAAAAATAAAAATACATAAAAAGTTTAAAAACTAAAAAGAAAAACATAATTCTGTAAAAAATTATAAAATAATTTTTATTTAATGATATTGTGCTTTGGCCTTAAAGATTTATTACAAAATGGACAGTACTTCTGGAAATAGGGGGAAATAAAAAATGAAATATCAATGTTATATTTCAAAAGCGTAATACAATTAGGATAAAGATAGAAATTCTTCACACATCTTTAGCCTCAGCTTGGATGAGTGCTGCATTCAAGATGACAGACACAAAAGATGGTAATGCTGACTCCACTAAACTGTTGTCTGACACATAACACTGTCCTGTCATGCCTCAATTTTCACACATGAGCTATTGCTCAAAATTCAGTATAAAATAGTGACTTACGGCTGTCAATGTAAAAAGTATGGCTTGCTCGAACACCAACTCATGGATGTCAAAGACCAAGTGTGGTTAGTAGACAATCTAGATGAAAGTATTCAACTGTGGGTTTAATGCATTAAAATATATAAATGGTAAATCACATATATAGGACCCTTTCTTCAAATTTTCCCTAATAAATGGCCACTACATTATCTTTCAAAACTTATCTGTTAATTCAAAATCTGTATATCACAGGGTTATTAATAAACAGGACAGATGTGATAGCCACAGACTAAGGGAAAAACACATTATCACTTCATTTATATTTTTTTAGTCTAACATGTATCAGGCATAATGCCAGGTGCTAGGGATTCAACAGTCACAGACAGACAGGATTCATGCCATCAAGGAGGGCATCTATGAGGAAGAGAAAAAGTGTGCTCGTGCTGCTGGTCTATGGAATACGGTACTGTGCTATGCAGACCAGGCACCACTCCTGACGACTGACACCCCTAGTGGATGCACTGGCCATCTGCAGCCCCGGCCTGGGACATTGGGATTCCAGAAGACCTGGGGAGCCTCCATTGTATCAAGAACAGTTTCAGGAATGAAAAAGACTTCCAGTATAAAAAACTCAGTGCCAACATCAGAATGCCTACAAATTCTCACCTTTTCCATTTTCAAACAACTTGAGACTGACTAAAAGGTTCTTGGAAAAACTCACTTAGACACAATGAATGCATTACACAGGAAAGCTGTTAACAGGCATTTTCTCCATGATTCCTTTAGGGAGTCATCCCCTCTGCTTAAATACACACCCTACATATAATATAGTCATACAAAACAGTATTCCCGAAGCTGAGGAAGTCAAAAATGTTCATAACAACTCTCACAATAATCCTTGCCTCTGCAAAGCAGGCCAGAATGAAAACCAGCTTTTCTGATTTCCATCTGCCCTCTCCAAAGCTCAACTTAAAAGCTTGACATCATCTTTGACCCCTCCTTCACCCAGACCTTTCCCATTCTATTAGTTGCCAAGTCCTACAAGTTCTATCTGAGAAAACCTCTCAAACTGATCCCTTCTTGTCCATTTGCATTGCCGCAACAGTTGTCTAGGGTGACAATAAATAAACCCACAATACAACCCCAAATAACATCTCCAAAATTCTTTCTCCCCACAAAGATATCTTAGCTGACAACCACACTAGACTACTTATACACACCTTTCCTCCTTAGCACTCCGCTCACATCACTCCTTCCACCTCAAATACCTCACAGAAATCCCACCTCCTTCACATCCTAGCTTTAAAGCAACTTCTTCAGAAAAAGCATGCCCATATTATCTACCATCTCTGAATCCCCACAATATTTTGCACCATTCATGTGCCCTGTAGTATAGTTTCTCATGTAGGTATTTATTATGGAAGTATTTATATATCAAAAGACTGGCTTTGTCCCACACAGTTCAGGGATGAGTTTTATTTCTCTTTTTGTGATTACTGTCCTTCAGATAAGACACGGCTCACAGGATGAGATTAATAAATATTTATCAAATGAAACTGGCTTCCAACATTCATGTTAAGATGCTGACTTACTCTCAAATTCAAGCATTGTGTAAGTAGAGCTAAAATTTTGATAAGTGGGAGGATGGGGGCTTTTAAGAGTTCAATTTGCTGCAGCAACTCTTCCTTCTTAAAACTCATCAAAATCACCAGCATCCACGGCTCAGCGTAATGAAAGAGAAATTAAAAATCAAAGATATAGCTATGAAATTCCCCAGATCGCTGATTTACACACACACACACACACACACACACACACACACACACACACCCCTTCAAAACAGAAAAGAAAACACTCAGGGCAGAATAGCAAAGTTTTCAGAGCAATCTCCTGAGTCAGAATGCTTTGGTCTAATATTTCCTCTACTACATTATTGTGTGAAGGTATTCAAGCTATATAAATACCCTGCTCCTTAATTTCATCTACAAAATGAAGATCATAATTCATATAAACATCTAAAAAATATAAGTGCTAAATAAGTGCTATACAAGTGTTTGCTATTAACATTTTCTGTAATGTATAGTTTAGTCATAACTTCAGTATGAAGAAGGGGTTATCGGCTGGGTGTAGTGGCTCACGCCTGTAATCCCAGCACTTTAGGAGGCTGAGGTGGGTGGATCACTTTAGGTGAGGAGTTCAAGACCAGCCTGCCCAACATGGTAAAACCCCATCTCCACTAAAAATACAAAAGTTAGCTGGGCATAGTGGCAGGCACCTGTAATCCCAGCTACTCAGGAGGATGAGGCAGGAGAATCACTTGGACCCAGGAGGTGGATGTTGCAGTGAGCTGAGATAGCACCACTGCACTCCAGCCTGGGTGACAAAGCGAGACTCCATCTCAAAAAAAAAAAAAAAAAAATGAGGTTATCTACTGGCCACTGGCTACTGGCCAATTCTGAATAGATAAGGTCACACGTGCATTCAGCGTTAAGGACCCAATCTTGAAAATGTATCTGACCTGGTAGCATTTCACCCTGCCAGGTAACACTCCATGTTTTTACCGTAACAAAGACATTAAAAGGTCAGAGTGTCCCAAAGATTGCTTTTTAGCTTCTTTTTAGAAGCAAAACCAGAAGAGTATCTGCCTTGATTGAGCTGTGTTGAAAATCACTGGAGTTAGGACCATAAGAATCCTAGGTACAGTCTGAATGTGAATTGACTCAACGACTTAATGGATTGCCGAGTCTTAACATCAATTAAGACAGATCCGATAAGTATGTCCAAAAGGGTAATAAAATAATTCAGCAGGTCTTCATAAATATGAAATATTAAATATTTGCAATGTGTCATTCAATCAGACAGATAAGATCTATGCTTCAGAGAACAGGAACTCATAAAGCTTTTAAATGAATACGAAAAAAGCATTAACTGAGGCACAAATTAAAACAGACAGCACAGTGAATCTCTATGGGCAAGAAGCCTTTCTAGTACCTCAATATCCCAGGAGACACAGCAAAGTAGGAAGAAACCTAGGGAAATAGGAATAAGGATTCAAGAAAGTAGCAAAGTTTAGTGGGGATCTTTCACAAGATTATTCCAATATTAATACAAAAAAGAAAGGGCAAAAAGATTCCACACATGATAAATAAGATCGGACAGACTGAAAAATCTCTCCATGAGGTTAAACAGATTCCCTTCATGAGATACTATGTTTTCATTAATTCTGTAAATTTCAAAGGCTGAATGAAATAAGGGTCTAGCACTGCTGAAGCTTGCGTAAGTATCCCACTCATGGTCAGAGGAAAATAAAGACAGTAATCCTTTGACAGATTAAATGTTTCAAACCTCAAAAATTAATGCATTCAAATGCTTCAAAGGAATATGTTTATTGATGAGTAAATATGGTTATGGGGATAGAGGACAAAGATAATTCATAATAGCTTGATCTAAGGCCATTCTGTGCTAAAACAGGAGTAACGAAACTAAGACAAGTATAAAACTCATTCCAACTTCCGTACAAACATGTAACAGGCCCCAGTGGGAAAATGGAATTTAACATGTGTGCGTGCATGTTTCTGTGTGTGTGTGTACACTCTGCTTTTGTAATGGTTTGACTGATTTTTGATATTTCGCTAAAATGTAATGAATCAGGATTATACAAATATCTTGGTCCTTGACTACGACAACCCATAAAAGCTACCAAGCTCCCATTTCTTAAAAGCACAAATTGATTAATTAATACAAAGGGATAACAGCAGTATGTGACTGAATTTAAGTTTTTCCCTTAGAATTCCTTGAGGAAAGCATACATTTCTCTACTCAACATAATATTTATGTGTTCAATCAAGACTAAAATTGTAAAAATTGGGCAATGGATCTAGTTTTGGCAAATTAGGCAGGTCCTCACAGCAATTGCTGTGTGGGTTGAAAGAAGAGTGGGAGAGCATTCAATTCATTAAACACTCCTACAGCATTCTATCTTTACTAACAATCTTGCAGAGAATTCTGCATCTATTCTTATTGCTACCAACAATATACAATATTCTTTAATACATAATATTTCATTTCTATGCCTGCTGGCAAAGCTGCAAAAAACAAAAAGAATGATATGGTCAATAAATAATTTCTCCAGTCAGAATATTAATACAAACTTTCTTATACCTTGCCCTTAGATGAATGATTCAATGCCCAGGAATATAAACTACCTTGTAAAAGTATCAGTGAGAGAGAAAAACTCTGCACACTGAAGAGGAATGAAAAGGAAGCTACCCAGAAACAAGACCCCTACTCCACACACTGACCACAACCGCCCCACCCTCTTCCTTCACTAGCACTGTCATTTGAGATGTCCCATTCCTCATCTGTAAAATGGGATAATAAAAATGCCTGCCTTGCAACACCCCAGTGGCAACAAACACACCCCGCACCCAGATCTTGGTTTCTAATACCATTTGTCAATAAGAGGAACGAGGGCTCTGTGATGAAATGAATGATTCCAGGACTGAGGCAGGAGATATATAAGATGGTGTATGGGTATGAGTATGGCACATCTTGAAAGTACCAGAAAGTAGAGAAGTACAATTAAAAAAAAATGTTTGACATACAATAAGGGAGATATGTCAGAGAGATACAAAAGTCAACTAAAAGAGTTACCAATGGCAAGCTGGGCATGGTGGCTCACGTCTGTAATCCCAGCACTTTGGGAGGCCAAGGCAGGTGAATCACGAGGTCAGGAGATCGAGACCATCCTGACCAACATGGTGAAACCCCGTCTCTACTAAAATACAAAAAATTTGCCAGATGTAGTGGCGGGCGCCTGTAGTCCCAGCTGCTCGGGAGGCTGAGGCAAGGGATTCGCTTGAACCCGGGAGGCAGAGGTTGCGGTAAGCCAAGATCACGCCACTGCACTCCAGCCTGGGTGACAAAGTGAAACTCCATCTCAAAAACAGAAAGTCTCAAAAAAAAAAAAAAAGTTACCAATGGCCAAAGCTAAAACAAATTGGGCAACAAAATAAAGTTGTACTGGATTATAATCCACAATATAAAATAAATATCCATGAATCCACACTGATATAAAAATGATGTGATAGGTAGGTAGATAGATAAGGGGGATGAGACAAATCTCCTAAGCAGAATAATTCCAAATAATTTATGTGTATACTTCACACCCAAGGAGGTGGAGTATAATTCCTTACTTCTGAAGTGTGGGGTCCACACAGTGGCTTCCTTCCAAGAGAACAGTAATAAAGACCATAATCCTTTATTACGGAAAAGAACAACTTTACAGTGGAGAAAGCTGACAACCCCTATTTCAGCCAGGTAATCAATGTCAGTATGGAGATGATAAGTCATTTTGACAGTATGTACCCTTGATGTGATGTAATGAGAACGGCACTTTACCTATGTGGTCCTCCTCCCAAAACTCATCACCCTAGACTTAACATGAGAGGGCATCAGACGAATCTCGACTGAGAGACACTCTACAAAATACCCGACGAGCACACCTCAAACTGCCAAGGTCATCGAACACAAGGAAAGTCTGAACAATTGTCACAGCCAAGAGGAGTCAGATGTGATCACAAAACCTAATGTGGTATGCTAGACAGGATCCTGGAACTCAAAAGGGACTGCAGATGAAAACTGAGGAGATCTGAATAAAGTACAGTAGGTTCTCAGATAACATCATTTTGTTCAGCATCATTTGATTACAGCATTGACGAAAATGAAAAAAAAAAAAAAATAGATCCCCAGCCCAAGCCACTGTCTGTGTGGAGTTTGCATGTTCTCCCACGTATTTGCATGGGTTTCTCCAGGTAGTCCAGCGAGCTCCCACACTCCAAAGCTGTGCCCATTAGGGAAGCTGGCATGTCTGCATGGTCCCAGATTGAGTGTGCGTGTGTGTCACCTGCAATGGGAGGGCATCCTGTCCAGGGCTGTTCCTGCCCTGCGCTCCAAGCTGCCAGGATGGGCTCTGGCCACCGCCCTGAACTGGAATAACTGAGTAATTATCTTATTGATTTTTATTAATCTTTCTGAAATGTATGTATAGCTCCTATTTATTTCAGTGGTTAATATTAGAAGTGTTTTGTTCCTTATTTAGAAGCTGGGTGATATTTCTGTAACCAGAAATTTGCCATAGGAACTTAACTCTTGTTCCTATCAATCAGTCTATAGTAAATTTGGCATGTTTAGACGTTGTTTCACTTAAACTCTGGGTTTCTAAGAACTATCTGTGACTTAAATGAGGACTTACTATATGAACTTTTATTTAATGTATCAATATTGGTTCACTAATCGAAACAAAGATCCCATACCAACCTACGATATTAGCAACACGGGAAACTGGGCATCAGGTATACAGGAACTTTCTTTGCCATCTTCTCAATTTTCCTGCAAATCCACAACTCCAAAAAATAAAGTTTATTTTTAAAAATTCCTGCCTTGCCTTCCATACAAGGTTAAATTTTTCAGAAGTTTATGGAAACACATAGTTTGTTAAAAGGCTACACCACTTAAAAATTTAAAATAAATTTAAAAATAAATATTATAGGCTTTCATTTTTTTCACTTTTTTGAAAAAGGAAAGCATTCCATTTCACTTCAGAGGGTTCTTTCCAAAGAATTTTTCCATCCAGGAAAAAAGAAGAAAGGAAAAGAAAAAAGACTGAACAACTATGTCACTGGGTGGGACCCTTGGAGAGGATACTAGAAAAAAGAGAGTTACTGTAAGAGATTACAATCAGAAGTGAATCATATAAGATTATTAGTTTCTTAACTGTAGTTGTGACAGTTTGCATAAATACACTGCAACCACTCTAAGAAGGAATGTTTCATTATAACTAACATAAATGATCATTACTTAGACAAATGTTATGATTTTTTTAACCACAGATACTTTCATTTGATATTACTACTGTGTCCTATAAAGGCAAAGAATATTTTGCATTTTCCTTACTATACCATATAAGACTTAAAATACCAAATTATATATCTTAAATTTTATTTTTTATCTCTTCACTATCATTGATTCTCCTATAAATTATTGACTTTAATATTCATTGTTTTCTTAGGAAAGAACTACTGAAAAACAGGAAAAAAATCAAGAAATTAACATATATATTGGTTTTTAAACCACAGCATTATGAAATCTAAATGGTATATAATGCAACTGGATGTATATTTATCTTCCGAGAATCCTCTCCAACCAGTCCTCCTCTATGCCAGAGAAATGCCACTTAGTCTACATGCTTGGGTAAGGATGTCCCCTCCCCTCCACATCAGCAGTGGTCATATGACCCAAGCCTAACAGCTGTGAGGATTTGCCCCTTAGTCACCTTGATTGATTTAGGAAATAGGTGACCAGGCCAAGTGTTAAATTATCAGAAAAGTGCTTGCTTTAAAAAGCCAGGCCAGGCGCGGTGGCTCACCCCTATAATCCCAGCATTTTGGGAGGCCGAGGCAGGCAGATCACGAGGTCAGGAGATGGAGAGCATCCTGGCTAACACGGCGAAACCCCGTCTCTACTAAAAATACAAAAAAAAAAAATTAGCCAGGCGTGGTGGCGGGGGCTTGTAGTCCCAGCTACTCGGGAGGCTGAGGTAGGAGAATGGAGTGAACCCGGGAGGCAGAGCTTGCAGTGAGCCGAGATCCAGCCACTGCATTCCAGCCTGGGCGACATAATGAGACTCCATCTCAAATAAAAAAAAAAAAAAACTTTATGATGGAAATTTGAGGCAACCAGCAGCTGTATTGCTGCCACATTTTGATAGCCTAAGATAAAGCAAACAGAGGCAAAAATAAATAAAGTAACCAAGAAGTGAATAGAGAGAGTACTAAGGATACTAGTCAAATTGCCACATGCAGCAGTTCTTAAACACGGCTTCACCTCTTACGTGTCCCATTCCATAAACGCTTTTTTGATTAAACAAGTTTCAGTTAGTGTATCATTTAAGATTAGGTTTGGCTGCAAGTGTCAGCAAACTTAAAAGGACAGTGGCTTAGACATTACTGAAGTTTCTATTTCTCGCATTCCAAGTGCAAAGTCAGGCAGTCAAGGGTATGGAAGCTGTGCTTCCCCAAGCCTCACAGAACTCATGTACATTCCAGCTCATAGCTCCACCATGCCCAGGGTGGGACACACCCAAATGGTTCAATATAGCACTGAGACAGACGTCCAGCTGTCACACCCACATTCCAGGCAACAGAACTGAAGAAAGAAGGACAATGTGGAGTAAAAGGAATGTACTGGGGGACTTTACAGGTGGAGCAGCTTTACAAGCTGCTCACTATACATCAGCTTACATCTCACTGGCTAGAACTTGCTGGCCACATGTAGAGGCTGGAATACGTCATCTTTATTCTAAGCAGCCACACACACAATGAAAATTCTATTGTCACGGAAGAAGAAAGGAAGGAATAGACTGGGCGACACTCAGCCTCTCTCACAGCTGGGTTTCTGTAACTTCCAATAAGACAACTATCACAAATCATATGCTACATAATTGCTGTTCTCTCAAGGACTGTTTTTTTTTTCCCAAAATGAGAACTTTTAGGCATTAAATCACTGTAGTATTTATGTTTTGGGAATCCCATACAGCAATGACACATACTTAGAGAACAGAATATTAACACCTAATTTCACATTTTAGACCATTGAGAGTAGAGCTTTATCATGTGGCCCAAAGTTGCTAACATAAGAATGTGAATTTAATAAGGAATTAAATTCTGGAATAGATAAGGAAATAAGTCAAGAAACCCAACAAAGCCCTGGTAAAACATAAATAACTGACAGAAAGGGAAACTTAAATGGCCAACTAGAATATGACTTCTGAGTAAAGAAAACAGACTGATTATGAACCTTGACTTGCACTCTCTCCCCAATTCAAATAAAGTAAGATGGAATAGATTTTTCTTTAGATACAGAATGTGAGATAAGTCAATAAGCACAAGATTTCTGAAAAGGTTAAAAAGTAAGTGGAAGAAATGATTTGGCAGACCCTGGAAAGCCGAATGAGGGAGGCCGGCCAATTGTGAAGAAAAATAACAAGCAACCTGACACAGCCAACAAAACCTCCCAGAATCTGGGACACTCTCAGCTCCCTACGACCAGAAATGGCGGTAAAAGTCTAGCTAAAATGAGGAAGACTGATTGACAGTCCACTTGAGAATTAGTTAGATTTCCACATATCCTCGTGAACACAGCTGGAGGACTGTCCTTCTCAGCCCCAGAAGTCTAGCAGTTTATTGCTAGTGCAGAGTCAAACAAAGGGCCTCCACTGAGAGACTCCATAGACATCTTGTACAAGAGAAAATCATACCAAGAACAGAGTGAGGGAACAAAGAGTGATAAGATGTCCAGTTTCTTCTCATTCAAATTGCAAACTGCTGGCAGCCTGGTCTACAATGGTAGGCAGAAGCTTGAAAGGTTTTTCTATGGAAGACCTAATTAGCCCTAGACTCAAGCCTAAAGACAGTTCCTGCCATCAAGGGTGCAACACATAATAGCCCAGCCAGGTGACTCTGCTGAGAAGAGCACAGACTAGCTCAGAGCTTTCAGGAAGCTGCTTAGTGCCCCACACAGAGATTACAGACATTATTAATGCACTCACCAAATAAGAGGACGTCATTAAAAAAGTGTTATTCTCAGAACAACAAGAAAATGTTCTTAGAAATTAAAAATATGATAGTAAAAATTAAAGAATAAATAAGAAGACAAAAAGACAATGATGATGTGGTCTTTCAGAAAGCAGAACAAGACTGAAAACAGGAGCAAAATAATAATAAAATTGGAATTCCAGCGTGGGATAATCCAACATTTGAGAATGAGAGCTAAAGAGAGAAGAGAGAAAATGGAGATAAGAACAGCATCAACCAAATAGGGGATCCCTTGCTCTTCAAATTCTCATTCTCCGAACTCAGGAACCAAAAGGAAGAGGAAAGTAAGTTCTGCAATAGTATCTTTGGAAGAAACAGTACCCCAATCCTCTGACATGTCCTAACACTGTTGCTTGCCATCTGAACTCAGTAAATGAATCAATTTGGATACCATGAGATTTCTGGTGATGGTGGTTTTGTTGTTGTTGTTGTTGTTGTTGTTTTTAATTCCCTAAAGGAAGGACTTACGTTTACAGAATGATAGGGCCCACTGAGTATCCTGCAAAACTTGACAAAAACAGGCCACATAAAGGCATGTCATTGAGAAATTCAGAACATCTGGAACAAGACACTTCTACAAGATTTCAGAGAGAAAGAAAAAAAAAGAGTGGGGAGAGAAAAGTAACTGACAAATGTATTGGGAATCTTAATGGCATCCCAATGTAATCTAGAGTGGAAGGATGCTTTGAAATCCCAAAGGAAAATTATTTCCAATCTTCAGTTATAGACCATACTACATTATCGGTCTTGTATAAATGTTAAGATATTTTACACATGCTGGATTTGAAAAAATTCACCTCTCCTACAATCTCCCTCCTCAGAAAGGATGATATGCTTAGCAAAGAAGAGAGTACACAAAGAAGGAAAAAATCTTGATATGAGGAGACAAAGGACACACAGGGAGGGAAGGATGGTTACAGGTAAGCCTGAGGATGAGGGCTGTGTACAAGGCAAAGCACACCTGATGGCCCCAAGAAGATGTACTTGACAGACACCTCTGGAATCTGAACGCATTGAGAGGAGAATCAGACAATTCTGGGTTTGAAGCAGGGATAACAACATCAGAAACTGAAAACACAGAAAAAATTACTGTTATTGGTCTGGTCAATGATTTCTTCAATATGACCCCAAAAGCACAGGCAACAAAAGCAAACATCAACAAATGAAATTCCATCAACCTAAAAAGCTACACCACAAAGGAAACTGTCAACAGAGTGAAAAGACAACCTACAGAATGAGAGATAATATCTGCTAAACATTCATTTGATAAGGAGTTAATATCCAAAATATAAAAGGAACTCAATAGCAAGAAAACAGGCAAAAAAAATCTAAACAGACATTTCTCAAAAGACGTAGAAATGGCTCATAGTTACATGAAAAGGTGCTCAACACAACTAATTATCAGGGAAGTGCAAACTAAAACAACAAGACATCATCTCACAGCTGTTAGAATGGCCATTATCAAAAACACAAATAACAAGTGTTGGTGAGACTGCGGAGAAAAGGGAACCGTTTTACACTGCTGGTGGGAACAGAAATTACAACAGCCATTACAGAAAAGTGTGTAAGTTCTTCAAAAGTTAAAAACAGGACTACCATATGATCTACCAATCCCACTACCGAGTATGTAACCAAAGTAAATGAAATCAGATCAGTATGTTAACTAGATTATCTGCACTCCCATGTTTATTGCAGCAGTAATCACAATATTTGTAACCAAGCTAACTGTCCATCAATGGATGAATGGATAAAGAAAATGTGGTGTGTGTATACATACACACACAAACACACACACACACACACACACACACACACACACACAGTGGAATTCCGCTACCAACTCTGTAAGAACTCTGCACATTTAGGGACATATTTCAGGCAAACTGGAAAGTATGCTTGGGTGGTGGTGCGAGGAGGGGCATGAAACAGGAAGAAGAGTAGAACTGGGGAATGAAGATAAAGAAAGTAAAATGAGTGAAACAGCAGAGGTGTCTTGTCTTCCTGGTACTAGTAAGAGTGGTGGGGCATGAACTGAGGAATAGAACAGACTCAACCATGTACATCAGATGATCAAACATACCATCACCACTCGCCATCACACCCCGCCCCTAAAAAAAGAGAAAGGGGGAGAAAGAATTGGGATCAAGTTAGAAAGAAACAGAAGTAGGATCAAGTAAAAAGGAAAGGGAACTTGGAATCGTAAGATAAAAATCCCATAAAGTTAGAGTTATACAGGAAGAATAAGTTCTAACATTCCTTTGCACAGTAGGGTGACTATAGTTAACAATAATATAGTGTGTATTTCAAAACAGCTAGAGGAATGCATTTTGAATGTTCTCCACAAAGAAATTATACATGTTCGAAGTGATGGATTTGCCAACTACCCTAATTTGATCATTACACATTGTATAAAACTATCAAAACATCATAGTATACCCCACAAATATGTACAATTATTATGTATCAATAAACATAAAATGAAACTTAAAGAAAAAAAAAGAAGATAAAGATTCCAAAGTCTGGCTCCAAAACCTTCAAGGTGTATGACTTAAATTTTACCTTTCTATGCCTCAGTTTCCTTATATATAAAAAAGAAAGAACTAACTTTTTAGAGTGATTCTGAGAATTAAACCATAGTCTATAAATACCAGGGTTTTAAAGCTCAGAAAACAGAAAACAGCTCCATGTGCCCATCATTTGGCATCAGAAACATTGTGCACATTGTGTAGGTCTCTCCAAAAAAACTGGGCCACAGACAGGAATTGTCACGCTGCCTGGGTTTACCTGCTACTCATTAGATAATTCTGAGAATTACATTTTAAAATAATTGTTGGAAGCGTCTACTCTTTTTTTTAAGTTTTCTATTACTCCCATTCTTGAGATGACTATTTTCTACTGAAAATAAGTTTTCGGACACTACAGAAAGGAAATAACAATGAGCCAACTTATTAAAGCTGAGAATCAAGTTACTAGGCAGGGAGGCACATTATTTACCCAGCCCAGCGCCACACTCCACCATCATGTGGCGGCCAGATCACATGACACATGATTCAAAGGGAGAATTCTTAAGCAAGTTTCCACTCTAGCTTCCTAAGTTTTAAAGTCAATGTGCCAGAGTCAACATTTGCACATCACGGCCATAAGTAAAGAATCAAGTGAAATCAAACGTCATTGCCTCTACAAAAGGACATCCTTACTGGTGTCTGTCCTTCCCTCCCATTACTACAGCTGAGATGAAAAGTTGAAGGGCAACTGGCTCTCTCTCCCCTGTGTATCATCTCCTCATTTCTGCCTCATAAACTTCTAAAATACTCCACTCCCTGGCTAGTAGGGTTTTTCCTCATAATCTCTGCCAATGAAATATCTTGTTTTCCCTCTAAAACATCAGTCTTCCCTGGCTACCATATGCTCTATCCACCACCGTCATACAAGAAGTCATTAAGAATGCACATGTGTACTTATTCCGCACCAGGAGGGCCCTTGTGTCAATCAGGAAACTATATTATCTAGATTTTATTTTCAATCTGGTTGTATGTTGATAATGAACATCTTTCAATACTTGCTGTAATAAATGAAAATACCTAAAATAATTAAGAATAAATTATGTTCAAAGTATACTTAATACTGCACATAAGCAATTCTACTGAATACAGCATTGATAGTGAAAAATTCCATTTGCCATTTATGGTGAAAAACTGACTATATCCTACACATACTTTATTTATACTAAATATACATTCCTTGTAAGAGAGAGATCTCTCACCTTTCATTAAACTATAAAAATCATGCTAACAAGAAATACCATATATTTTCTTTGTCTTTCCTTCCATTACCACTAACAACAAGGATGATCATGTGTCAGGCACTGTCCTAAGTCCTTCCCATGTATTAATTAATTTAATGCTCTTAACAACCTAATGAGCTAGGGTTCACATCGCTGTTTCATAGATGAGGAAACTAAAGTATAGAGAAGTTAAAAGCCCGCTCAAAGACACACATTAAGCAAGCACTGGAACAGGATACAAACCCAAGCAGTCAGACCCTGAAACAGTTAACCACTGGCTTCCATAATAGCCAGAATAATGCTTTGCAAAGGTGGAGGTTACATGCCTGGAAAATTGGACTCAGCACAAGCAGATGTGTAATAAGTATAGAATGAATGGTTGCAAGCTTGAATTATTGCATGAATATTCTTGGACTAGAAATGTTTTTAAAATATTGCCTAAAATTATATCAGTACATTGTTAAGAGGGAGAATGAGGTGGAGGGAAAGCAGAAAACTTTGTGGCATGTCTGCATTTTAGTCACAATGAATGGTAAAATGGGACCTAGAGACACATAGTCATTAAAAGAACTAAGGATAAATTCATTCTGTGGGATTAATGGGTACAGAATATTACTATGAACATTTAGAGGCATATTTCTTAGTCGTAATTAAGAAAGTATTTGTGTCATATCTTAATGAAATCCCACTCTCAAGAAACATTTGCATGTATTTCATCACATAAAAATAATCTTAGGGCACTGTAAATTTTAAATTGCTCCAGAATATCTTCAATAGGTATTTCATACTACTCACAGTATGAAAATTCTTAGACCAAAGAAAGAAAACAACAAAACATATAAAGTCTGCTCCTAACTCCAAAGACTGACAACTGACAGGCTTGTGAAGGCCACTGGAACAATTCATAAAGAGAAATCAAAGCAACTGACTTCAGAATGATCATTTAAATTTTCAGATGCTTTGGCCAAAAATTTGGTATCATTTATACATGATACAGAATATAAAAAAGCCATTAGGGTAGCTGTAGTCAGAAGCTGGAGTTTTTCCATCAGCATAAAAATCCCACGGAGAGTCAGCTCACCATGACCTGTATCAATTCCCTTGTAGAGGACCAAGCCCGAGACCTGATGGGAGAGGCTGGCAAGGAAGAGCAAGGAAGTGAATACTTGGTTTTAGAAAGACAGAACAAAAGAGAACTTCAAGATTATCAAGTTCAAATGATTCATTTTACAAATGAAAAAACAACTCAAGGCTTAATGCAGGAGCACATAAGCTTCTAAGATCAGAATCCAGGGCCATTCTCACAACTGTGCTGCCTCCTTTGTTAATGCAATTTTTTGGTGTTCCTAATATATCAAGGTTCCTATACATTTTGCTAACTACATTAACACCATTGGCTTTTATTCACTGGACCGTGTACTTTCCATTCTTGATAGAATTGCTTGTACCTCATTTTCCAAAATAAAAACAATGTCTACGATCTTAAGAAAAATTACTCATAAGCTTAAACATCTTCAGTGCACATATACACTAATTTGAAATTAGCAAAGACTTAATACTAAAGAAAATAAAAGTTCATTGTATTATACTTTGTATGGACACATGACATTTATTCCAAAACATGATAATACAGCATCACACACATCAGAACATCGCGATGAAGAAGGTAAGAAATTACAATAACAGGGCAAAGAAATTAAGACAAAGAGACGTCAAATATCTTGCTCAAGAGCACCTAGCAGAATATGCAATTGTACAGCAGCCACTGACATTTACCAAATATTTTTAAAGCATCAGAAAAATCATGTTAAGAAAAACTGCCATAAGAAAGCTAACAAAGTTGTAACAAGTCAAATTCTGCCCTTTACTCTCTCACCAAAATATCGTGTAGTGTTGGCATCAAGTAGTTGGAAGTTTAGACTTCTATTTCTCAAATCCATTCCATTTACTTACATGTCTTTAAAAGGCAAAACCCTAGCTGTAAAGCAATTTATTAGAAGAAAAAAAATGTTTGTACTGATGGAACACAACAACAAATCAATACAAAGCATTTATTTACTTTGCCATCAGATTATCTGAGGATGTCTGGAAACTGTATTTTCTTGGTTCTTTACAAGATGCAACAGAAAGCTGCAAAGCGTGCTCCAGTAGGTCTGATCTCGTATCACACTGTGCACATATGATGTGCATCACCATCTATGCAAGAATATGGAAACAAACTATAGGCACAGTCAACCTTCCACAGTGTTTTTACAAAGCTCTTCTGTTTTCACCTGGGCTTAGCTTCTCTGCAGCCAGAGCTCACCATGGCTCTTACCACGGACAGTCAAGATACGTCCAAAGGAAATTTTCCCTGTAACACTGGAAGGTAGGATAAGCAACGGTGGCAGAGGGAAAAAAACAACCAACAACAATTTACCCTAAACACTGAGTTGTTCTAGCAGCAGGTGGACAATAAGCAGTGTATATAAAACCTCAAGTCTGGGGCCAGGATAAACGGAGGCATGTAAGGCCCAGGAAGGACAAACAGCAGGCTTGGATAATGATATCAAAACAACCCCAAGAACAGTGGTAGATGTGCACAGGTGGGTAACAGAGGCAGAAGAAACAGAAAGAAGCATTGAGCATGAGCTGTGCCAACACCTTCTGAGGCTATCCTCAACCCAGTTCAGGAAAACATGGGTGTACCTGAGAACTCAGATGCAGACACCTGCAGATACTTGCCAGAAGAGGAAAGCAGAAGGAGGTAAGAGTCCAGCAGCTCCCAACCACAAATGTTTTTAAAATAGGATATAGGAATGGAGGAGGTCTGAGGGAGGAAGAAAGGGAGAGCAAGAGGGAGGGAAAGAGGGAGAGAAGCAGGCAAGAATGGAGCCCACACTGTGATTTAAAGAGGAAGAAAACCAAGAACCATATTGGGTGTACACAGCAGCCCATCAGTTATGCAACATACATGTAACCCAAATTTCACTGACTGTCACTTCTTTCTAAAGCATCTGTTAGGGGATTTGTTCCTGTATGTTCGTTGGTAGTTTTTTAGGGCCTGGCTTTTATTGCTCACTTGTCATTCTACTTACAGTAAAGATTAATAACACTTCATATGGTGTGTGATGAATAAGAAATTCAACTGACACGGCACTAGGTGTAAAATTATGCAGTACATCCATCGCTTTGAGTGCATGAGAATTCGATTTAACATGAAGAGCTCCCTGCACAGAGGGGAGAAGTAAAACTTATCTAAGTATTTGCCATGCTTATTCTACAAATAGGCTCAGAAAAGTAATCTGTGAAAATAAAAATTGTGTTACCCATCTATATTGTTGAACTAAAAAATGTTATTTCGAAGTTACAGTAAACCCCAACTCATCTAAAATCTACTAGACCAAAAAAGCCGAGATTACCATAATTATTTTTGGCTTTAATTCTATGTGTAAAAGAGGAATGGAAAAATATTTAAGAGCCATGTCTGCCTTTTTTGGGAGGGGAGAGAAGGATGAAATTCATCTCAGTGGAAAAATAAATCTGCATACCTACACACCTCCCTTGTGGGGCCTGGTAAAGGAGTGAAAAGACCTGGAGAAAGTATTAATGGGTCTCTAGATGAGCAAAAGGAGGCCCAGAAGTGGGTGTGGGCACAGGAGCCAGAGAAAGTTGCAGTGCTCTGTGTAACTCAGACTCAACATTATTTTTGTACTCTGCAGTGAGAGACAGAGAGACCAGCCATGATGAGCTGCCAGATACAAGCTGCTGAATCCTGAAGAGGCACTTTTAAAAAACATGGTCTAATATTCGATTTCAGGCTTTTTTGTTTCTGAACTTCTGAACTTTTGTTGCCCTTATCTTCATTATCTTCATAAAGTTTACCCAACATGATCTTAATTTTAAAAAAACAGAAAGGCAAGGGAAAAGGGCTGTGTTCCTGTGTGGGTGGAGACAAAGTACAACAGGGACAGCCAGTTCATAATGGCGAGACAGACACAAAGCTGGAAATCCAGCTGCCTGAAACCTCCACCCCATCCCCAGGGACCGAGAGGGAACTGTGACCTCCTCCCATCCCTAATCTCACTGGGCTCCCAAAGAACAGGTTACAGCATGTACTACACTCTGAGAAGACAAAAGCAATCGAAACGATGGCTACAATGGTAACTGTTAAGACCAAAGCACTCAGCTAGTATAAGACAAAATATCTATAAATAAAAAAGACAATTTTGACCATATCAATCAGTCACTTCCACCTCCTAAACTGGAATAACAAGTTGCTTTTCTTATCCCCAGTCATTGATATACAGAAGAGACAAGTCAATTCAATGGCCAGAAATTGCCAATGATGAAATTATTCAACTATTTTAAAAGAGAATATATTATCAGCTCTTAAAATTGAGCACAAAAATTCAAAAATGAGAGACAGTAACATCCTGAAAGTTATTTTTGTTATACATAAGGGAAATGAGGAAAAATAAGGGAATGGTAACATTCAAAGGGAGAAGAGAAAGATGAAGAGTAAGAAGGAAGGAGGTCAAAGCATGTACAGTGAAGGGAAGAATCAGATGAAAACAGAGATAGAGACTTGGAAACAGGGAAAAACAAAAACTGAAAGAGTTCATGCAGCCACTTTATAGCTATGTAATTTTTTTTTTTTTTTTTGAGATGGAGTCTCACTCTGTCACCCAGGCTCCAGTGCAGTGGCATGATCTCGGCTCACTGCAACCTCCATCTCCCAGGTTCAAGCAATTCTCCTACCGCAGCCTCCCGGGTAGCTGGGAGTACAGGCATGCACCATCACGCCCAGCTAATTTTTGTATTTTTAGTAGAGATGGGTTTTTGCCATGTTGGCCAGGCTGGTCTCAAACTCCTGACCTCAACTGATCCACCCGCCTCGGACTCCCAAAGTGCTGGGATTACAGGCATGAGCCACTGTGCCCGGCCAGCTATATAATCTTTGATAAGTTTCTCAGAACCTTAGTTTCCTCATCTGCAAAATGGGTGTGAAGGAATTTATCTCATAATTTTATCTTTTTTTTTTTTTTTTTTTTTGAGACAGAGTCTCGCTCTGTCACCCAGGCTGGAGTGCAGCGGCATCATCTCGGCTCACTGCAAGCTCCGCCTCCGGGTTCACGCCGTTCTCCTGCCTCAGCCTCCCGAGTAGCTGGGACTACAGGCGCCCGCCACCACGCCCGGCTAATTTTTTTGTATTTTTAGTAGAGATGGGGTTTCACTGTGTTAGCCAGGATGGTCTCGATCTCCTGACCTCATGATCCGCCCACCTCGGCCTCCCAAAGTGCTGGGATTACAGGCTCATAATTTTATCATTTAAATAATATATGCAAAAGTAACACACATATAAAAATGCATAGCCATACACAGCAGAGTGTAAAAGAAGGAAAGACATTTTAAAGTATAAGATGATCATGAATGAGACCTGCTACTATGAACTTGGATTGTTGTTCTTATTTTCTACTTATTTGATTTGATTTTAGATTCAGGGTACACATGTGCAGGACTGTTACACGGATATATTGCATAATGCTGGGGTTTGGGCTTCTAATGAGCCCATCACCCATAAATGATCATTGTACCCAAAAGGTAATTTTTCAGCCCTATTCCCCTCCTAATCTCCTGCCTTTTGGAGTCCCCCAGTGTCTATTGTTTATGACTATGTGGACCCACTGTTTAGTTCCCACTTATAAGAACATGCAGTATTTTATTTTCTGTTTCTGACTTATTTCACTTAGGATAGTGGCCTTCAGGTTTCATCCATGTTGCTGCAAAGGACAACAGTTTCATATTTTTATGGCTGCATAGTATTTCAGTGTGTATACACCACATTCTCTTTATCCAGACAACTGCTGACAGACATTTAGGTTGAATCCATGACTTTGCTATTGTGAATAGTGCTGCGATAAACACACAAGAGCAAGCATTTTCATAGAATGATTTATCTTCCTTTGGGTAGACACCCAGCAGTGGGATTGCTGGGTTGAATGGCAATTCTATTTTTAGTTTCTTGAGAAATCTCCAAACTGCTTTCCACAGGGGTTGAACTAGTTGTTCCCACGAGCAGTATACATGCATTCTCTTTTTTCTGCATCCACACCAACAACTGTTGTTTCTTGACTTTTTAATAATTGCTATTCTGACAATTATTATCATGTGTAAGATGATATCTCATTGTGGTTTTGATTTGCATTTCTCTGATTAATGATGTTGAGCATTTCTTCATGTTTGTTGGCCACTTACATGTCTTCTTTTCAGAAGTGTCTGTTCATGACCTTGGTCCACTTTTTAATGGAGTTTTTTTTCTTGTTGAATTCTGTGTGGATTCCGGATATTATTAGTCCTTTATTATCAGAGGCATAATTTGCAAATGTTTTCTCCCATTCTGTAGATTGCCTGTTTATTTTGTTGATTATTTCTTTTGCTGTGCAGAGGCTTTTTAACTTAAGTTCCATTTGTCTATTTTTGATTTAGTTGCATTTGCTTTTGGGGAATTAGCCATAAACTCTTTGTCTAGGCCAATATCCAAAAGAGTTTTACCTTCCAGGGCTTTTATAGTTTCAGGTCTTATATTTAAGTCTTTAATCCATCTTAATTTTTGTATATGGTGAGAGACAGGGGTCCAGTGTCATTCTTCTGCACAAAGCCAGCCATTTTCCTAGCACCATTTGTTGAATAGAGTGCCACTTCCCCATTGTTTATTTTTGTCCACTTTGTCAAAGATCAGTTGGTTGCAGTATGTGGCTTGATTTCTGGGTTCTCTATTTTTCTCTATTGATCTATGCATCTATTTTTGTACCAGTACCATGATGTTTTAGTTACTATAGCTTTGTAGTATAATTTGAATTCAAGTAACATGATGCCTCTAGCTTTGCTCTTTTTGGTTAGGATTGTTTTGGTTGCTCGTGGTCTTTTTTGTTTTCATATAAACTTAAGGATTTTTTTTTAATTCTGTGAAGAATAACTTTGGTATTTTCATAGAAATTGTGTCGAATCTGTAG
Organism: Homo sapiens; assembly: GCF_000001405.40. Taxonomy (NCBI): domain Eukaryota; kingdom Metazoa; phylum Chordata; class Mammalia; order Primates; family Hominidae; genus Homo; species Homo sapiens. The sequence goes on from NC_000013.11 coordinate 74,060,336, forward strand.
ATTACTTTGGACAGTTTGGTCATACTAACAATATTGATGCTTCCAATCCATTTGTTTGTATCAATTAAAATTTCTTTCATTAGTGTTTTGTAGAACTTCTTCTTAAGAAGACATCTTTCGCCTCCGTGGTTAAATGTATACCTAGGTTTTGTGTGTGTGTGTGTGTGTGTGTGTGTGTGTGTGTGTGTGTGTGTGTTGTAAATGGGGTTGAGTTCCTGATTTGGTTCTCAGCTTGAACATTACTGGTGTACAGAAATGCAACTGAATTTTGTACACTGGTTTTGTATCCTACAACTTTACTGAAGTTGTTTATCAAGTCTAGGAGCCTTTCCAAAAAGTCTTTTGGGTTTTCTAGGTATAAGATCATGCCATCAGTGAACAGAGATAATTTTACTTCCTCTTTTCCAATTTGGATGTCTTTTATTTCTCTCTTACCTGATTGCTCTGGCTAGGCCTTCCAGTACTCTGTTGAATAGGAGTGGTCGTTTTCTATTTTCTAAAATGTTCACTGATCTCTATTCACAGGTTTTAACTTCTTGAACTTTACTCCTGAAAAAGCACTTCACTATTGATAGAGCACTTATTTCCTACCAGAAGAGAAATTATTTTCTAGTAGACAAGGGTGAGGGGAATAGTACCATCTCATGGGCTAAGTCTAGACCTTGGTCCCTGGGTTACCATGTGTGGTCCAATACTTTCAACACAAACAAAAATGCAGCTATCGAATCAAGGCCTTGAGGCATTGTACAATAAAGTAACATTCATCATAGCAAGAGTTCACATTAACTTTGGTCTTTTTATGTAGGAGGTACCAAATGAGGCATTTCAGATATATTCTCTCAAAACATCACAACAATCCTTTAAGGTTAAGTTCTATCAATAAGGTCATCTTATAAATGAGGAAACTGAGGCCCTGATATGTTAGGTAACTTAGCCTAGGTCATGTAACACTGAGGGAGGAACTAGGTTTCAAACACAGATAGGTGGGTTCTGGAGCCTAGCTTTTAATCACTAAGACAAATTTCATGATCCTTAAGAAACTTCTAAGTTCCAAAGACAGATGAAATCAAGGTCCAGAAAAATTTAATATAAGCATACTACAGTTTTTCCTAATTGCCCTCTAAAGTGGCACGCCAGTTATTGCACACAGTGACTTTCAATTAGACTCATCCATCTAATTTCCATGATACTTCCTAGACTGTGAGACCACAGATAAAAAAAACACTCTGGGGTCTCAGTTTCTTCACCTGTGATTAAAAACAATCCCAATGATGTCCCAAGTTCTAGCAAATAATGAAAAATTACTCTGCAACCTCTGCCATAACTTCCAAGTATCCCGAGGCTAATCTGATCCTTTTCCCACTGAAACATGGTGGCACTCTCTGAGCAAAAGTCTTTAATTTGAAGGAAGCATCCTCCTAAATAAAGGTTCAACTACTTTGAATACGTAAAGTATTGTAGAAATCAAGGTCACACATGATTTTTATACCTTGACGTTATATGATAGCTTTCTGAAACTTTTAACTGGAAAAAATATAAAAGTTGTGCCTTTCTAACCATAAATTTTAAGAAGTAAACAAAAGAATATATGAATACATAAGCCTTAGTCACATATAAACACCTATACTACATACTTTGGTGGGGTTTTTTTGCACTAGTGCTTGCTTTCAGAAGAAAAGTGCCAGCAGAGTCTTCCTCAGTTGTCTTGAGACTGTGGTTACCCTATTTCTAATAAACAAGGCAGCTTCCTGTCTCTGGCTTCTCATTGCTAAATCAGGGTTGAATTCTGGCAGCTTTCATAGCCCTGACCCCTGAGTGCACCCATGTTAAAGAGTGTCTGCTTTGCTTCATTCCTTATTGTAAAAAACGACTCATCATGGAGCACCTCTTGTTTTAAAATCTTGCTTTTCATCAGTGAAGCTCAAAATGAGTTAATTTCTTACACTCAAAACTTAGTCTCTCATTTTCTCTATATTTGTCTCTATTTGGTTGATGTATCTGGACTTTTTCTAAGTCTCTAAAGGGATGAAGCTGTGTACACTTTTAGATCGTTTCGGAAGTGGTTAAAACAGCATCCTGTAGATGATTTTATGATCAATCAAGTATTCATTTATGCTTTTCTCTTAAGCATCTTTAGTGACTGAGCCCATAAGGCAAGAGTTCATAGTCAGACAATTAAAATGCACTTCATGTTACAAAACAATTTTTTTAAACAAGTGATAGAACTTGTTCTTAAGGGCTTAAAAATGCAATTTACAAGTATTTTCTTCCACTTTGGGGTTGTTCTGAAGTAATTTACTGTGCAGCATGATATTCAATTTGTCTTCAATATGCTGATAAATTATCTATAAATCTGTCTTTGTTTTGCTTGTAATCTCTTACAGAGCTGTGTCAGCAAAGGGCATCCTTTGCATTTCTGACCCTTTTGTGTTAAAAAAGAAAAACGAAAAAATCCATCTAGCTCTAGAAACAAAAGATTTCATCTCCAGCTTTTCACCATCACCATTTTCCTAACCCACAGGAACCTATTTTGTTGGATGGTTGGTCCCTTGACAATGAGACCCCACTTGAAATAACCTGAAAAGGCTAGAGATCCTCTTCACCCACTTTCTGTGTGGGCCATTACACAAGCCCTCATGCTTCCCAGAGATGTCAGAGCCCCAGCCGGTGTGAAATGGTGATGCTGTCAGTCAGCAGGAAAATTTTTTGCTTCGGAAAAACCTCTCTCTCCGAGCTTCCTCTGTGCCGCACCTCCAGCTGCCTCGGTGCACCATGTCAGGGTGCTAAAATAGCTCAGGCTTGATGACTTCACTAGTTCTCACAAACAGGCCAGTTGGCAGAACTCTAATGCAGTCTGCTCCTGAGTGGAAGACATTTTTTTTTCTCCCCACCATCCTCTAATATGAATACTTAGTTTCATTTTGACTCTGGAAGAAGTCTCCTTTCTGGGAGTCAATTCAGCACAAACTTAATGCAAACGTTTCAAAATGCTTTAAGGAGGCTTGAACTAAAGAGCTACCCTAAAGCCAATACCATGCATTCAGACTGCACTATTATTTCCTATGCTAACCTTCAAGGACATCAAAACTGCTAGGTAAATTAACCTTATTTAACAACCTTCATATTTCATTTATCTTAGGGCCAAATATCTTCCTCAAGAATAGTATTAATAACTGATAATCAGCCAAGATTTTAATGTCTTATTTCTCAGGTTTACTCCTTTCCCACAAGTAAGGAGGTCAACAGAAAATATCAAAGTAAAAATTAACTACCACTACATGTACTCAGCATAAAATGACAGGGGGCCTTTAAAGGCAATGTCCTGTAATCACAGCAAACTTTAGTGATTAATACTCAAATAGATTTGAAATTTTTTTTACAGTATAAGGTACTCATGCACTAAAAAAGGTGTTCTGTATTAGACTACCAAATTTTATTTTAGTATTTATAATTTTCCCTTATAGTTTTTCACTTCCTTTTGTAATTACCACATACTAGCAAAAAAATACTGCAAGAAAACTAGAACTTTCTGATGTTCCAGTTTCCTAATTCAGTGCTGTGCCCAAGCTGCCCTTTGATTCCAAAAGACAGCATTTAGATTAACTGCTTCAGTGCCCTGTGGACACAAAATTTATGCCCAAAGAAGAAGCTTCCATATGATTCTATAGACATGAGCTAATAAAATAATTTGGTTCACTGGTTTAAGATGGTTCCTCTAAAAGGGGTGCAATATCCCTGTCCCCAAAAGAGGAAAAAAATCACAAACATTCTATTCCCAGCACCCCTCAGTTCCTCTCACTATCTGTCCATTACAAACAGCATCTAAATACCACTGCCATCTTGCAATGGTGATGATGGAAAACCACCCCTCTCCATCACCAAGAAAAACATCACAGGGATTCTCAGAGAACACATAGGCTCATATATAACTGTATATTTTTAAAATGCATTTTACCATACAATGATTTGTTCATTCCATAAACATTTGCCTAGTACCTTGCATGTAGCAGGTATTACATATGATTTTCTACAGGCATGAACAGTGTCTTCGTGGATTTCACTCACTCAATATTAAGTATTATAAAGTCACATAACTTTAGCAAAATGAGACATGGGTGGCTGCAATCGTTTTGTTTATGTTAATCCAGTGACTTACAAAATTTGGTGTTGATGATACATCCAAAGAAGCATTGGAGTCCAGAATTATAATAACCAGGGACATTTTGGACATAGTCCAGAGACATGACCCTGAAATTAAGAGTTATCATGTCTCTCTGCTGTAGAGGCTAATAAACAAAGACACAATGGAGATTCTGAATGCTGAAAGGTCAATTATAAATGTCATTACAGACACAATAATTCACAGAGGAATGAAATAGGCTGAGTAGTTTGTGATGCTGACTGTACTAACCATCAAATTTTAGACCATAAAGGACCTTAGATCTAAAAATCTCACACTGTACTAATGATGTCTAGAAAGTCTGTGTGATTTGTACAAAGTCACAAAGTCACACAGGTACTAAGTTATCTCAGAATCAATGTTAGTTTTATTCATCCTGCATTCTTCCCATCATACTACTCTAAGTCTGATTCACACACACTCATGTATACGTTATTCTACTGTTTTTGACTCATACACAAATATACATGTACACACATACACATACTTGTCTGCCCAATTCAAACAAAAACACACACTTCAGTACTCTGCTTCTGATTCATATATACATAGACACAAACATTATACTCCCATATCCTGATTCATATACACATACATTCCACTATCCTCCATCTGCTTCATACACACATTTTACTGATTCATACATACAATCTGCATATATGTATATTACTCTGTATCTGATTCTTACACACACACACACACACACACATGTATATATATATATACACACTGTATACTACTCTGTATCTAATTCATATGCACATACATATTGGCATGTATATACACACTGAAATTTAAAACAGCAAATCATGGTCATATTCAAAACACATATATTTTAAAGTGAGAAATTCAGGTGTGAGCCAGACACTTGTGTAACTATGTCAAAGTTACTATAACTTATACAATGAAGTAATTTATCTGGATCTTCATTTACCTCTATAAGAGTCCCCCAAAGAATTGAAAGAAATAAGACCTATCATGATGCAGAAATTCAGTGAACCCATAGGCATCCATCTACATGAAAATTTTTGTCAGGTCAAGGATGAGAATATGAGTGTTTGTGTGTTGTACTGTTTTCTGTAATATGGGATAGAGAAGTGGATATACACAGAATCCAGGGACAGAGGATCATATTCTGTGTCCTTGTTCCAGGATAAATTCCCAGTTTCTGAGCCCATGAAGCAGTGTAGGAGTGACGTGAGGGAAGTGCATGAGCAACGTGGCTTGGGACCGCAACTACAAAGTGTGACCTGAGGAACATCCTCCCCTCTCCTCAAGGGCTGGCAACGTAGAGGGCTCTGAACGATCTCTCTAGACATGTGACATGAGGATTCTAACTGGAGTTAGAATCTCAATCATGAGCCCCTCACAGAGGTTTTATGAAGAAGGGGAGCAAGCAGTAGACAGAGATGGAGAAGACTCTTCAGGGTAACTAGCTGATACAGTAATTCACATGTACATAGAAGACATTCCTGGGGACGCGGACATAAAAAGATTAGGGAGACTTTATGGAGGCTAGAGGTCCTGCAGGAGCAGGGAGGTGCATAAACAGAAAATGTGGATTGTTGTGGATTATATGCTCCATCCACATCCACAGGTCAGTAAGGCCCGTGGACCTGCAGGCAACACTGAGAAGACAAGACTATGAAGAGGAAATATGGAACCCAACATCTGTGGGTTTCAGACTGTACGATGTTATTCTCAAAAAGTCGACTGAAGCAGATGGTGAATATTATGAACACTTGTTTTCTTAAGCTACTTGCTCTAAAAGTCCAGCACACTTTTCTTTATCCATAGTTTTTCTTCATTATTAAATATATCCATTACCAACTCGTAAATACATTATATTGAAAGAGCCTCTGTAGGCTGGGCCTGGTGACTCAGGCCTATAATCCCAACACTTTGGGAGGCTGAGGTGGGAGGATCGCTTGAGCTCAGGAGTTCAAGACTAGCCTGGGCAACATAGCGAGACCTTGTTTCTACCAGAAATCAAAAAAATTAGCCAACACGCACCTGTAGTCCCAGTTACTCAGGAGGCTAAGGTGGGAGAACGACTTGGGCCTGCCTAGAAGGTTGATGCTGCAGCAAGCCATGATCCAAACAATGAGGAACTGCTTTTATGAGCCCTTTAGATAAATTATAGTTTTAATTAAAATATAAAAATAAAACACCAAGAATAATCATGGTGATGTTATATGTGAATATATATCTCTTCCTGGATTTTGCTTAACATTTAAATATCAAAGATAGCTGTCTTTGATAGTCCTCCCAAACTGGGCAGCACCATCACTCTGGCCTTCGAAGGGAGCTATAAAGCTCACTAGTAGTCAACTCTTAAAAATGGGGCATTATTCCTAAAAAGGAAATATACAGCTTTAAGCAAATAAACAATAGGTACTTTGAAGACCATTTTAAAGAACTTACCCATAGCCCAAGATAAACATCTGCTAAGGATCAAAAAGATCAGGCCCTGGGCAGGGGCTTGGGGACAGTGTGGACAGGGACACACATAGCTAACTGCTTTTCAAAAATTGGAAAATTAAAGCCCTCCTACCAAGGATTACAAGAAAACCCTCAAAGTTTAGCAGGTCAAGTACAAACTAATAATCAGGCCTGCCAAGAAAGAATTTGAACAACCTTGCAAAGTATTCCAAAGAAAATAAAAAATGTTGCTTAACAAGATACAACCCTTGAAAATGAAGTGAGATTTTCTGCAAAGCATGTACATCAGATGAAAAAGAGTCTGTATATGAAATTGAATACCTTTGTCCTTGGTCTCTATGAAGTATTAAAAATATTGTAAATACTAAGTTATCTTTGGAAACAGATTGCAGGAACTAAATCAAACAATTACCAACTTAAGGAAGAGTCTAAACCTAATTATTACATTAGATATAACAAAAGCAAAGACCTGTTTGGCATTATCACAGTGTTAAAAACTCAAGAGGAAATGTGTAAATTGTTGGCACAGATGTAAAACCTGAATTACAACTAATCACTATATAGAAGGATGCAGTTGCTAATCAGGTACCTATCCACAAAATGTTCAAAATAAAGGCCTTTCAAGTATTGAAGAAACTACATATTGAAGAAAAAAACCACAGGAATTAATGATGTGATATGATTGAGCACTCACTCTACTTGGTAGCAATCAACAGACAGTAACCAACCAAAGAATAGTTTTAGTTTTAAAAATTACATTTTGCCATGGTGAAAGCAGTGGATAAATGACAGAGAAACAGATATATAAGCATGCACACTTCCAGGAGACAGGTGCTCAAAATGGTCTTATTTAACATTTTTATAAATGATGTCAGGGAAGGGGTATACAGGAAAGTAGGCAAGTTTGTATTAAGCTCTTCTAGTTACCAAAATGCCATGTAACAGAGATAAAACATCCTTTTAGCAGCAATCTGATAAATATGGTAGAATCCTTTTAACCAACTTCCGCTTAACCAACTGTCCAGATTAACCAATGAGCTCCATTCCCCTTGTAAATCATACTGACTGATGCACCTGGAATGTGACCAGACAGCTGGCTCCTCTCTGAGCAGACCGAGTACCTCAGCTCCCATCAGCCAAGGCACATTTTTAATAAGAGGTTTTTATCCTAAACTTGTTTATGCAGTAATGCCTTATTTTTAAAATGTGATTTAATTAAATGATACATTACTTAAGGAAGTGAAATAAGAGGATGAAATGCAGCACAGTGTCTATTTCTACGAAAAATAAGTTGTATGTTTTGAAAAATTTTAAAGATTCAGCTACTATAACAATTTTTTAAAACAATTTTTAATACTGAATAAGGAAGCTATCCTAATTGTACTACAATGGAAAAAATAAGAAATATCTTCAAAAGTGTTTACTTCTCTTTAAAGAAATATCAGAAATAATGGACAATCCATCATGGCTGTAATCCTGGTAAGAAGCATTAACACTAAACTCCATCTAGGGATTCATGCTGGAAGAAAGTGTGGATCCTACATCCAAAGATTGATAGAAGATGTATTTTTTACGTGTTATGTTCAAATAAAATTTTTTTCTTTTTTTTTTTTTTTTGAGACTGAGCTCTGCTCTCTTGCCCAGGCTGGGGTGCAGTGGTGCAATCTCAGCACACTGCAGCCTACACCTCCCAGGTTCAAACGATTCTCCTGCTTCAGCCACGTCAGTAGCTGGGACCACAGGCATGCGTCATAACACTCAGCTAATTTTCGTATTTTTAGTAGAGACTGGGTTTCACCATGTTGGCTAGACTGGTCTCGAACTCCTGGCCTCAAGTGATCTGCCCACTTTGACCTCCCAAAGTGCTGGGATTACAGGCATGAGCCACTGCACCCGGCCTATTTGAATAAAATAATGAAGGTATGTATACATCATCTTTATACTCCTCTATCTTTTAACTAACTTTTTGACAAACTGACCAACTATTGATTCTTACTTCTGTCAAGGCTCCTGTGTATTTATTGTCATGTCTTCTATGTGCCAGGGACTGTGACAGCTGCTGTGAATACAAAAGAGACTAAGGTTTTAGCCCTCCAAGTGGTCAAATGTAATGGGATAGACAGACATGCTAACAAACAGTAGCTATTCATCATACTAAGCATTGTAAGCAAAGGTGACCCCTGAATTACACAGGTTTGAACTGCCTGAGTCAACTTACATGTGGCTCTTTTTCCCCAACCAAACACAAATGAAAAATATAGTACTAGAGGGAAGTGAAGCTCTATATATGGAGGGCTGACTTTTCCTATAGGTGGTTCCACAGGGCAGGACTTGACTATGCACCGATCCTGGAACAAATCCCCCGCGAATATGAATGGACACTGGAAAAGATTCTGTTAAGCATGGAAAAGAAAATAAGTCTGGAGAGAGTAGAGTTGATGGTGGTGAGGCCTGCAGAGTGAGTTATGGTGACACAGATGAGGTACGAAGGCACATTCTGACAGATCATACGTGCAAAAGCATGGAGCAACACCACAGGTCCAGGTACTAAACATCCCAAATAGTGGAGAGGTTGGAAAGGCTGGGTAGAAACAAGACCAGGAGGACAATGTTATTTGAGTTTTAGACCATAAATTATGGGGAATCATATATTTTAAACAAAAGAGTGACACAATCAGACATATTTTAGCATAGTATCTTTTCCAACAGTTTAGAAAATGAACACAGGTAACAGAGGCAGAAAATAGGAGATTACAAAAATAGTCCAATAAAAAAATAGAAGAAGAATATTAAGAAAGGTATATCAGCATGACTTGGTGACTCATGAGACGTGAAAAGAGTGAAGGATAATACTGACTTAAAAATGGTTCCTAGGTTTAGGAATGTCGCATCTGGTGGTCAAAGATTCATTAATAAAAATAGGAAATGAAGGCATTTTAAAGCAACAGATAAAGAACAAAGTTGTGAACATGATGAGTTTGAAATGCTATATATCCAAGAAAGAGATGACAAATATGAAGCTGGCCCTCACCAGCTAGTGCTCAAGAGAGGTGAAGAGATCTATTTAAGGACTCATTACTCTATGGGTAGAATTTGAAGCCGCAGAAATAAATGGGCACATGATGTAAGGGCAAATAGAGAAACGAGGAAGACAGATGAAACTCTTTCAAATGCCAAATTTAGAGACAAGAAGGAGAGGAGACCCATCCACAAGACTACAAAGTGACAGGAAGCAGCAGCAGCATAGGAATGACATGAGAGCCAAGAGAAGAAAATTAAAGCAGGAAGTAATCAACCACATCAAATGCAAAAGCGAAGTCAAAGAAGATAACTCATGAAACCACTGTGCTTAGCAGGTAAACGACCACTAGCCAAGACAGAGCTTCGCAGCAGGTGTGTACACTCAGGCACCTTGAGTTGGAGATAGAATGGACTATGAAGTGGGGACAAGCTCTTAAGAAGCTCTCCTTCAGCCAAGGGCCAAAGAGGGCAAGAGTCTTTTCTAGAGGATGAAAACAGAGGAATATGGGGTTTTGTTTGTTTGTTTGTTTTTTCAAGATACAACTTTAGAGACTGGACCCTGCCAGCAACAGCCACCATCCAAAACAACTCACCTTCCGCAGAGTGAGGGGAAGGATGGAAGAGGACTAGGCAGGGATAGGCCCACTAATTGGTCATGAAGAAGCTGATAAGAGTTCTTGACTTACAGAGATCTACTGTCTTGGTGAAGCAGATACTAATCTATGAGAGTGAGAATGGCATTGTTAAGGCAGCAGGAATGAGAAGGGCAATGAAGTTTTAAAGCTCCCTGGGTGGGCAATGCAGCAGACCTTCTGAGACTCTGGGGTTGGGTCTGTAACATTTCCCTTATAGATAAGTAAAAGATATTTCATGAGGAAAAAAAAATAATTGATTGAAGTTTGTGGGAACATGGATGGCAGTTGTGAATAAACAGGAAGTGGGTCCAACAGTCACTATGAACAACTTATAGAAGACAGCTCTCTAATACTGTTAACACAACACAAATATCAACAAAATATAAGCATTACCAAATAGAACTCAAAACAAAAATTACCTTTACAGAACTGTGATGCTCTTCATAATGTTAACCACCACACCCTAATAAGTAATGCATGTTAAAGATGACAACTACTTACACTTTATTCATCATGAGAATGGAGAGTACTATATAAAAATAATATGGAGTTTCAGTCTAGAAACATAAACTAAATAATCTATGGAATCCTAGTTGCCAAGAATTTTATAACACCATTTGTCCATCTCATCCTGGCAACAGTACACACAGGAGTATTTTATTAAAACCTGAGACAAATACAAATAATATAAAGAAAATGAATCAATTGCTATTTCATATGGCAGGTGTTAAACCTATAATCCGCAAGACTAAAATTTTTTAAAACTTCATCAAGTTTTAAGAAATGACTGGGGCCGGGCGCAGTGGCTTCCACCTGTCATCCCAGCACTTTGGGAGGGTGAGGTGGGCGGATCACAAGGTCAGGAGATCGAGACCATCCTGGCTAACACAGTGAAACCCCGTCTCTACTAAAAAAAAAAATACAAAAAAATTAGCCGGGCGTGGTGGCAGGCGCCTGTAGTCCCAGCTACTCGGGAGGCTGAGGCAGGAGAATGGCGTGAACTCGGGAGGCGGAGCTTGCAGTGAGCCAAGATCGCACCACTGCACTCCAGCCTGGGCGACAGAGCGAGACTCCGTCTCAAAAAAGAAAAAAAAGAAATGACTGAATGGCAAACCGAAATGGATTCAAAGAAACAAGTAGTAGCTTAAAGAAATTAAGATACGAGTGAACTACGTTAAAGAGGCAACCCCATCATGAAGCTACAGGGGAGAAAACTGATTGGTCATGGGTCTGACTGTGTATGGTGATTTCTTATTTTAAATCAATACCAATGGGAAAGAATGAACAATTCTCCACATATTAACAGAAGAGTGTTAGTGTAATGTAATGAATAGCATCTTCTAAATTTTCCTCCCCAACCCCCCCACCTGAACAACTGGACAATCTACCGCAGAAACTTACATCATACTATATAGAATACTGGGGTAGTATCCAAACCTCCTTATGAACCTCCAAGTTCTCTCTACAAAAGAAATTTTAACTAGAAATGCAAATTTACCTGGAAATAGATGAAGGCAGATCAATGCCATTTGGCTTCACTTCAAATTATATTCTACCTTTATTACAACTCAAGTGATTATATATTATCATACATTTCTTTTGTACCTATTAGCACTTAATGGAGTGTCTGGAATATGGTACATGCTCATTAAAAAGAAATATGAAAATATGATAATGAAAAATGCATGAATTCTTATCAACTCCTAAATGTCTACTATTTCCAAGATCTTTTTAAGAATTAAGAAATACAAATATATATATATATATATATATATATATATATATATATATATAAAAGATTATCTACAAGAAACTAAACAACGTTAAAAATAGCATACAATCTGCCAGGTACAGTGGCTCACGCCTATAATCCCAGTACTTTGGGAGACCAAGGCAGGAGGATTGCTTGAGGCCAGGAGTTCAAGACCAGCCAAAGCAACATAGCAAGGTCCTCTACAAAAGATTTAAAAAGTTAGCCAGGTGTGGTGGCACATGCCTATGGTCCCAGCTACCTGGGAGGCTGAGGCAGAAGGATCCTGAGCTGCAAGCTGTGATGGCTCCACTGCACGCCACCCGGGTGACAGAGCAAGACCCCATTTCTGTGTGTATAAATACATACATACATACAAAAAATAGCACACAATGACTACAATGTAAGCTACAATTTTTGAAACTCTCCTTTCTTAAATAACCCAGCATCTGTGTTGTCACACTCCTCAGACACTGCTGAAGGTTGTCAAGAAGTAGCTAATATGACCATTGATATGGTTTTGCTGTGTCCCCACCCAAATCTCATCTTGCACTATAGTTCCCATGATCCCCACATGTCATGGGAGGGACCCGGTGGGATGTAATTGAATCATGGCGGTGGGTTCTTCCCACGCTGTTCTCATGATTGTGAGTGTCTCATGAGATTTAATGGTTTTATAAGGGCAGTTCCCCTGCAGATGCTCTCCTGCCTGCTGCCACGTTAAGACGTGTCTTTGCTCCTCCTTTGCCTTCTGCCATGATCGTGAGGCCGCCCGAGCCATGTAGAACTGTGAGTCCACTAAACCTCTTTTTCTTTACAGATTACCAAGTCTTGGGTACTTCTTCATAGCAGTATTAAAATGGACTAATACAGCCATCTATTTGACTGATTTTTTTTTCTTTTTTGCTCAGGAATTCTGATCACATGATTTTAAAATACAAGATTTTTTAAAAAATCAGTTATTTGCCATAGATTGAGGGTAGGACAGTGGAATCACATGCAGTAATGTTGACCTTTGTACTTCCGTAAATCTCTCTAAGACTTTTTTGAGGCATAGGAAGTTCTAAATCCTGCTCAATGCTGCTTAAGGAAATGCTTTGTTCAGGCTGTTTTTAGAGAAAACAGTCAATAACTATGCTTGTTTCTTTGAGTTCAGCTGCACCAGCTGCTGACTTAATGACACTGAAATTAGGAAGTTTTGTTCTAGTGGTGGCCACACAGAAGCTCCATTGGTATACCCAAAGGGTTACCAAACAAAATATTTTTTAAACAGGCACACACCAACACACATGTCCACAAAATACACTATTTGCAAAATGGAATAAGGAGTCAAATGGCCCAAATACAAAGTATAAGGATTGAGGGGGGAATGCAGTGTGAGGGAAGAACCCCAAAGACTAAACTCCAATCACTTCATTTACAAAACAAAAGCTGAATTTACTTTTGAAAATATTTTCCTAAGAGCACGGGGCATGCTATGTCTCTAGTTATCATTATGCATGGTCGCATACATAAATTTAATAATGCCAATAGTAACAGCAAAGACTCAAACAGAAGGAATGCCTTGTTAATAAGCTTTGCAATCTTTCTTGCCCCATTTTATATTTTCAATAGAAGCACTGCAGAAATATACATAACCCAGCAATCTATACCTGTTTACTCTTATTTAGAAGACATTTTCTATAGGCTGAGAGGCTGGAAAGCTAGAAATAACCAAGTAAAAGAATCACTGATTAAAAAGCAATGTAAAACACTGTCCCTTCTGCTACTGTTTTCTCATTCGAGAGAGAGAGAGAGTGTGTGTGTGTGTACGCATGCACAGATGCATGTGCACATTTTGCTACTCTGAAGCACTCTTTTTCGGTATGTCAAGTCAACTCTAAAACATCCAAGCAACTCTAGGGAAGTACAGGAGGGATGAACAAACCCAGTGAGCTCTGATAAACTGGTACAGGAAGACAGCATGTGTCCTCTTGCTCCCAGAGAAGGAAATCTGCCAAGAGGCCAAACAGGGTTCTAAAACCTGCAGAAGGTCTCCTGGGACAGCCTTCTCTAACTTAAAACCCACCAAAATATCCACTTTCCCTATCATCTAACTGGACTCTGATCTTACCCAAAACTCCATAATTCAGTGGATCCCAGGTACCAGGTACCATTCCAATGCTTGGAATGTTCCTGGATATCAATGATTAGGCCCTTATGGCCTAATCACCTCTTAAAGGCCCCACCTCTTAATACCATCACATTGGCCATGAATTTCCTTTTTATTTTTTAACTTTTATCTTAGGTTTGGGGGTACATGTGAAAGTTTGTTATATAGGTAAACTCATGTCATGGGGGTTTGTTGTACAGATTATGTACAGATTATGGAGGATTCATGGAGAAGGGATACCAAAGTTACCTGTCTTAACCAACTACATCCTGATGGCTTAAGCCTGGCTAAAGCTGGCATGTTCCTGACTAGAAAGGGGAAAAAGACAGACAAATGAGGAAGTGACAGATAATGCTTGGACTGTTCCTGGATATCAAAAAGGCATAATTTCTACAAAGGAACTGAAGCACACAGCACAGCAGTATGCCAAGAGGGCTCAGCTGTGATTCTATTCAATTCAACAAATATTTATTAGGCATCTTCTGCCAACTCAAATGTAAGAAGGATTCCAAATTGTATTTATATCCTCAGGATATAAAACAGTGCTGGAACAGACAGTAGGCACTTAATAAGTGTTGAAGGAAGGAATAAAAGGAAAGGAAGAAAGGGACAAGAAGGAAGGGAAGGAAGGAACGTCTACAGAGCAGGAATTTACTAAGCACTGAGGATGTGAAGATAAAAAATATGGCAAATTAGCTTCAAAGGTTCTGGCCAGTGATTTAGTCAGGGTCCTTTTCTCCATTTTCTAATCTAGCTTTGGTTTAATCAGTCCTTCTTGAAGGATCAGACAGATAAAAGGTAAGCTAGGTTAAAAAAATAATAATAAGCTGCAGGTTTCTGTTACTAAAATCTGATAGCAAGAATGTAAAGCAATGGCTCTCAATCCTGCCACACATCAGAATCATACAGGAAACTTAAATTGGCTAACTATTGACATGTAGGTCCCATGCCAGATTAAATTACCCATTAAATTACAATCTCTGGGGAGTAGGTAAAGGTACTGGTATTTTTAAATACTCATGTGATTCTAATCTGCATCAAACATTGAGAACCACTGATCATTAAACAATGCTATGTAAAGTTTTCTGCCTATATTCCACTGTGAACTTAATAAGCAAAAACATAAATCTACATTTAATAACCACATGTATGTTTATAGCTCCTCCCACAATATAGGAAACTCATACCTTTAAACAAACATCAATGTACTTTGTTTCTCTGACTACACACAAAAAAGTGGAAAAACAGTAAGACACTGATATAACAACAACAAAAAGCCATACACACAAGACAGGCATTTTAAACATCTAGTAAAATTTTCCCAGCCCAGCACACCAGCAGAAAGTGTCTCTAAATGGCTGAGAAATAATTACAGTGTAATTAAAGGTTTTCAAACACAATTCTGACATTAACTTGAAGATTAATTATTTTGTTATAATTACCTATACTTTCTTAAAAGCAGCTCTGCTCTTTACAGCCAAAAACTGAAAACAAGCCGGATATCCCTGAATACCACTACTTTAAAAGTAGGTTTTCTTATGTTCTAAAATTAATTGTGGTGATGGTTGCACAACTCTGAATATATTAAGAACTAAAGAACTGTACATTTTAAATAGGGGAATTGTATGGTACATAAATTATACCTTGATAAAGCTATTATATTTTTTAAAAGAAAATTTTAAAAGGTAGATTTACTTTCTTCACTATATTTAAAATACGACTGTTTTCATAATTGCACATCTTAGTGCATTTGTGCTGCTATGATAAAATAACCTAGATTATAAAAACAAAATAACCTAGGTAATTTATAAAGTAGAGAAATTTTTTTCCTCACAATTCTGGAGGCTGGAAAGTCCAAGATCAAGGGGCTGGAAGGTTTGTCAGACAGGTGAGGGGTGTTCTCTGCTTCCAAGACGGTGCCTTGACCCTGCATTCTTTGGAGGAAAGGAACACTGTGGTGTTCCCCACACAGTGGAAGGTGGAAGGGCAAAGGAGCTGAAGGCTATGTGAAGCCTCTTTTATAAGGGCCTTAATCCCATTCATGAGAGGAGAAGCCCTCATGGCCTAATTACCTCTTAGAGATCCCACCTCTTAATACCATCACATTGGCCATGAATTTCCTTTTTATTTTTTAACTTTTATCTTAGGTTTGAGGGTACATGTGAAAGTTTGTTATATACGTAAACTCATGTCACGGGGGTTTGTTGTACAGATTATTTCATCACCCAGGTATTAAGCCCAGCACCCAATAGTTACTCTTTCTGCTCCTCTCCCTCCTCCCACCCTCCACCCTCAAGTCGACCCCAGTGTCTGTTGTTCCCTTCTTTGTGTTCATGTGTTTTCATCATTTAGCTCCCACTTGTAATTGAGAACCTGTGGTATTTGGTTTTCTGTTCCTGTGTTAGTTTGCTGAGGATCACAGCCTCCAGCTTCATCCATGTTCCCACAAAAGACATGATCTCATTCTTTATTATGGCTGCATGGTATTCTGTGGTGTATATGTACCACATTTTCCTTATCCAGTCTGTCACTGATGGACATTTAGGTTGATTCCATGTCTTTGCTATTGTGAACAGTGCTGCAATGAACCTAAGTATGCATGTGTCTTTATGGCAGAATAATTTGTATTCCTCTGGGTATATATAACCAGTAATCAGATTGCTGGATCGAATGGTAGTTCTGCTTTAGCTCTCTGAAAAATTGCCACACTGCTTTCCCCAATGGTTGAACTAATTTACACTCCCACCAACAAGGGGACACATTCAAACTACAGCACTGTATTTGGACTATGAGTACTCCACAAAATATTAAATCATGTTTTAATATCAAATCTCACTTCTTTTTCATGTTCTTCTATACTCAAGGGTATATTCTATACTAAAAGAATTATGGCTTCAACCTGTAGCAAAATTTTGAAACTATAAAAGTTAACATTAAAAACTTATAATTAACAGTATAATAATTAGGGGGCAGGGGATGAAATGTGATTAAGTTAGTGAATCACTCAGAGTGATGCACCGAAAATGAAGCAGGCCTAAGAGCAAGAAGTCCCAAATCCTAGTTCTGACCCCCATCATTTGTGAGATGAGTAACCTTGGACAATTGACTCAAAATGGTGATAAAAACTGTAAATCACAAATTCATTCTGAGAATAAACTGAAGCAGTGTTTAAGAAATCATTTGAAAATTGTTTGGTGGCTTTAAAAAGTGTTGAAATTATTTTGGCTTTGTTGCAAAAAGAGAAAGAACAAGTTCTCGGACATGGTTACTTTGTCCAGGAATCTCCCAAATTTAGTTCTCTGCCCAATTTTCCTTGTAGCATCAGTTAAACTGCCTTAATTTTTCTTGTCTATGTATTTTCTCATCTATAAGAGGGAGATGTGTTTGTCTTTTAAGAAGTTATTAAACTTCTAAATTAAGTCCTCCGCTTCACTCTGGAGAATAAATGCAGCTGATGTAACAAACTGGTGGCCTGGCTTCTTTCATCTGCCTTTTAGACCAAGGAAGATACAGTGTGTTTTTGTAATATTGCAGCGACTCCATGTGAAGTTTGTTTGTTTGTTTAGTGGCTTTCTGACAAGAGTCCCAGCCAGCCAAACTGAAGGAAAGCAGTTACTGAGGGGCATGGGAGTTCTGGAACCTACAAGAGCAGATTTACACAGTGGATCTTAATCAGGAGGAGTGCGCATTTACAGTCAAGGAGAAAAGCCAAAATTCCATGCATAGAAGTATAACTTTTTACAATTAGTCTCCTCTTTCATAAATTGTCACAGTGAAGCTCTGCAAATTACTTGATCCCATTTCAAAAAATTGTACTTTTCTCCAAAGCACATAACTGTTACCCCAAAAGACAAAAACCATATTACTAAAAATGTTTTCATCTAGAAACAGAAGACACGTGCTTGTGGAAATGTTTCACCAACCTTTTTCAAGCATTAGTTAAAACTGTTACAAGGCATAATTATAAATGGCCATACATTTAACACTGTTACTTAATTAAATATTTGACTGTTTTGTAAGGATTACTTGTTATATTAAATTTCAAATTTCCATAATTGTGTGATGATATAGAAATATATGTATACACCCACATTTGTGTGAGCTGCTCAACTGTAATTAATGATGCACTTTTATTCTCTATTATTGTGTGGAAAACATTCTGACACAAAATAAATGAAGCATAATCATTCAGAGTAATGATTCAAATGTACTGATTAATGATACCAAATAACTTCTCTGTTCCTGAGTTAAATTAAAACATTTATAGCCTGGGAATTATAGGGGTATCCCTAAATGAGTGTTTTGTAGACAATCATTTTCCCTCACAGGAACCACCTACCCCCGTCACTGGAAATGAGTTCCTAGAGATTGTAAAATGTACCGTATTATTTTAAGTGCAAATAAGAGACAAAAACTCTATCCATTAAACTATTAGACAATGCCAAATCGCCTTCAGAGACGTTTAAAAGCAGGTCAGGAGAGAGTGGGAGAGAATATGCCTGCATCCCAGACTTGATATACGGTATTCTCTTCCCACAGTAGGCACTCAGTAAATGTCTATCAAAGAGACATTTTTCAAATGTTGCACAAGGTATTTTCAAACTTCTTTAAAATTTGAAATAAGCCAGTCACCAGAAGAAATCACTTATATGAGGTACCTAAAGCAGTCAAATTCGTAGAGACACAAAATAGAACGGGTACCAGGGGCTGAGGGGAATGAGAAGTTACTGTCCAATGGGTAAAGAGATTCCATTTTGCAAGATGAAAAAAGTTCTGGACATGTATGGTGCTGATGGTTGCAAAACAATGTGAATATACTTGATGCTAGTGAATTGTACGCTGGAAAATGGTTGTGCTGGTAAATTTATGTTACGCATATTTTATGACAATTAAAAATAACAAAAAGATTTCCATAGGAAAAGAACAGTATGTAAGATGGACTCGCAAAACTATAAAACTCTCGATCTGGAAAGGACCTAAATTCAACCCAACTTAACAAGATAACTTGATAAGGTAACTTTCCATTGAAAACTACTTTTGCAGAAATACTGAGTCCTTTTTCAATGGACTGGTGAGAAACTTGCAGTTTCCAAACAAAAAGTCTTGCTGAGATAGCGCTTCACACAACTAGCTTACCATCAGAATCACCATGGGCTTTTAAAAGACTTCCAGACAACTCACACCTATTAGGATGGCTACTATCAAAAGAAAGAAATAAGTGTTAGCAAGAAAGTGAAAAATCGAAACTCTTGTGTACTGTTGGTAGGATTATAAAATGGTACAACTGCTAAGAAAAACAGTATGGCGGTTCCTCAAAAAGTTAAAAACAGAATTACCATATGATCCAACAATTCCACTTCTGGATATATATCTGAAAGGATTAAAAGCAGGGTCCCTTGCTACCCACATTCACATCAGCATTATTCCCATTAGCCAAGAGGTGGAAGCAAACCCAAAAGTCCATCAAAAGATGAATGGATACACAAAATGTGGTAGACACATACTATGTACTATTATTCAGCCTTATAAAGGAAGAAAATTGTCACATGCTACAACATGGAGGAACCTTGAAGACATTATGCTAAGTGAAATAAGCCACTCACAAAAAGTCAAATACTGACTGATTCCACTTAAAGTTCCAAGCCAGGTGTGGTGGCTCATGCCTTATCCCAATTCTTTGAGAGGCCAAGGCTGGAGGATCACTTGGGCCTAGGAGTTCAAGACCAGCCTGGGCAACATAGTGGGACTCCATTTCTACAAAAAAAAGTTGTTTTTTTTTTAAGTTAGCTGGACATGGTGGTGCACACCTGTAGCTACAGCTACAATGGAGGCTGAGGTGGGAGGATCTCTTGAGCCTGAAAGTTCGAGGCTGCAGTGAGCTGTGATCACACCACCACACTCAAGTCTGGGTGACAAAGTGAGTTCTGGATGCCTATTGCACAACACTGTGAATATATAATACTTAACACAATTTAACTGTACGTTTAAAAATGGTTAAGATGGTCCAAAAGAAAAAAAAAAGCAACGTATATGTTAGATAAGTAAATAAAAGATTTCCTGCCTCCCATCCCAAGCCTACTGGCTTAGAATTTCCAGAGATTAGGGTAAAATAACTGGTATTTCTAAAAAGCTTCCCAGGAAATGGCTCCACAATCAACAGAGATCTATCAATTCCATTAGTTTCCAACTTGTAAGTAACTAAAACACAATGGCAGCCATGTTTAACATTTCATTTTGTGTTTAAGACTGTTTATAGGTACACATAAAGTATTTCTATAAGCAATGGAAATTGATCAGTTTGACAACATCACTAAAAAAGGTAGGGTGTGGATTTTAATACTGGTACTGATGAGGAAAGAGACAAAGGAAGCCCTTTAAGTCTCTCTCTCTACAACATGCCATCTTCCTATCACTGAACTGATAACAGTGGGAGGAGCCCTAGTCCACTGACAGCAGCTCTACCTGCATCATGCCTGTGGTTTACACAGAGCCCCAAGTCTTCCTCCATTGGGTGTGCAAACATTCAGAAAGCCTCTGGTACGAAATGACCAACCAGTACCAACCCTGGTCCAGAGAGTTCTAGAAAACTAGTCAACCAATTAAACAGCAGTGTAGTAAAAGAGGCAAATAAAATAGGTCTCATAATCTAGCCCTGCCACATAACTGCCAGGTGATCTTAAGCAAGATACTGACTTTGATTACATTACAGAAAAATAACAGGGATGGTACTCGCAGATTTGTCATGAAACTTCCACTGAGATAATACACATGTAAAACATTTAGCACAATAAATGGTGTAAAATAGGTATTCAGTAATCAAAAGATGACATTTTCACTGCTGATGCTTCTTTCATCTCGTCTTTTATAAAAATTACCTTAAGTACTATAGATTTCAGGACTAATCATTCCCTAAATATGTACTGATTTTTGTTTCTACTCCTAATTTACCTCAAGGACCATGCTTAATAGTATTACATTTTTTTCTATGTCCTTTGAAGCTCATCACATGGTACTAAGCAATCAGTAGACATGTTATTTATCAACTTAACCATTCACTCAACAGACAATGGATCTGCCATGAGCAACGCATCATCCTAGGCACTAGAATACACTGATCCCTACCCCTGAGTTTATGATCCATGCTCAATAAAATCTATTCTGTTTTATTGAATTATTTATTGCAACAGCAGAAACACATATATATCTTTGCATACAGGCATGGAACGCCTCCTTCCATAGATTTACAATAACCTATTCTCCTATATTACTCGTGCCAGAGAATGTCAGAAAATAAGTCACCTTATTTAATTATTAAAACTATCAATTTCAACTACGTAGACAACTATAGTGTCTCATGTTCCAGCCCCCTCAAACAATGGGTTGGTCTAAAAATGAAAAATGTCTGTACATGCCCATTAGCTTGTAAAAGAGCCAATGTAAAACCAAAGAATTGTTACCTAATTAAAAGTAATTTGCTGCAAAATTATTGATTCAAGAACAAAAGAAATTCACATAAAGAAAAATATTTTCGGCCAGGCAAGCTGGCTCACACCTGTAATCCCAGCACTTTGGGAGGCTGAGGCAGGAGGACTGCTCGAGCCCAGGAATTCAAGACAAAACTGGGCAACATAGCAAGACCCTGTCTCTTAAAAAAAAAAAAAAACAAAGTTAGCCAGGTGTGGTGGTGCGTACCTGTAATCCCAGCTACTTGGGAGGCTGAGGCAAGAGGATCACCTGACCCCAGGAGTTCCAACTGCCATCCAGCCTTCACAATTTCTCTCCAATCCACACATATCCTTTTCACATGTAAAATTTCTCCCAGTTAGGAAAAAATATAAGTGAGCTAAAAAACATAGCTTGAGCTTTCATAGCTACTCCACTATACTATACTACTTATACTATAGGTAGCTAAGAGATTATGTGATATTAAACTAAAGATTCTATCAATAGTCTATCAATTTTCTCCATTCATTTAGCACCACACTTGGTTCTCCCCAACCCTTTTTTTTCCAACCCCTCTGACACCCTCACCTCCACTATTCCCCAGATTTTACACTGTGTGCTGACTTAAACATCTGCTCTGCTAAGAAAGACCAAATACAAGTTGTTTTTAGTGAAGATGAACATGTACATATTTTTGTATAAGATGAGTATCTAGTTTGCTATTTCTGGCAAAAGGGCAGGGAACATCCAAGGTTGTCAGTATAACTTTTATCTCTTGTGATTTAACTGGACCTTTAGCAAGCACAGAATATAACTTCAAAAGAAAGAAAGGATTTTTTCCATGATTAAACAAACAAAGCCAGGGAGCATTTTCCCGGGGCAGGGAAGGGGAGGCACACTGACAGACCTTCCGGCAAGAGTTAGGTTAGTTAAAAATTCTGAGGGAGGAAAAGAAGAAAATACAAGAATTACTGTTGCTACATTAAGCAAAGCAAAACAAGTACAGGCAAAATAAAGAAAAATGTTTCAACAAAGGTGACAATATGAAATTTAAAAATAAGGAAGAGTGACTTGACAAAGTTTACCTTGGGTTATCTGACAACATTGAAATGGGTTGGACAAAGTACACAGTGAGCTCAAACATCCTGGCTTTAAAAGCGTGGGGCCCACAGTCAGGCATCATCTCTAGATCATCCATTATTATCTGTCTTATAAGGAGTAATGGTAATTTAGACAAATCCAATCCAATTTATTCCATCAAAGATGTATTGAGGCCGGGCGCAGTGGCTCACGCCTGCAATCCCAACACTTTAGGACACCAAGGCAGGCGGATCACTTGAGCCCAGAGACCAGACTGGGTAACATGGCAAAACACTGTGTCTAAAAAGTGCAGAAAAATTAGCCCAGGTATGGTGACGCGTGCCTGTAGTCCCCGCTACTCAACAGGCTGAGGTGGGAGGATCACCTGAGCCCCAGAAGTCAAGGCTGCACTGAACCGTGATTGTGCCATTGCACTCCAGCCTGGGCGATAGGAGACACACACACACACACACACACACACACACACACACACACACACACAAACATTTAATACATTCTCATGTACAAAAACTCTAAGTACTCTAGGAGAGATACATAAATCCAAGTCTAAGATGTGTTTAAGTAACTCATACCACAGCTAATTTTCAAAAGTTTGTCCAGTTAATATTGAATTGAGAATTTGGCTCAACAATATGAGCTTGACATGTTTTATAGCTCAAACATAATTGAGTAATGGCAATTTCATAGGTTCAACGGTTTGTATAATACTGATATTAAAAGGTAATGAAGTAACTGTGAAATAGAAGTCTAGGCAAAAAGTCTCTTAGGGTACAGAAATTAAAATGCAAAATAAAAAGTAATTCATTTTGTCTTTGGAAAGCAGGTTGGCTTCTTGGAGCAGGTGGCATATGAACTAGGCAGAAGTTTTTGAGATTTGGAATTATTAGAAGAGAGAATACAGTGAGATAGGGAATGGCAGATGGGGATTTCAGACTGGAAAAGCAAGATTTCTTATAGCATAGAATCATAAAGTGTAACAGAATAATTTAAATAATAAAATCATCTATTTTAATGTTACCGAACAAGTACGTGAGGTTCACTATTAAAAATAATTTAGACCAAATTCACTTGGAGACTTGGATATTACGTCTCATAACCGAATGAACAGGGTGATGTAACAAATATAAAGGTTTTCTGATCAATGATAAAAGAAAAATTAAATAAGAGAATTGAATCAACCATTCCCTATGAAAGGGCTACCAACTTTCTCCATTTCAGAAAAGTGTCAACATAAAACACTAAAAGCTCCTCACTCTATTACAAATGCAGCAGAATCCCACAGATCATCCTATTCTGTTCCGTGATGGTCAACAGACTTCCCCTTGACCATTGTTCTCATGGTTGTCTCTGCCCCAAACACCAGGGTTTTTATAAAGTCCCCATTAGATTTTAAAGGTCAAGTTCTTCCTACCACTCTGCTTACAGATCACTAGAAGTCACCACGAAACATTTACCATGATAGCGGCAAATTTTAATAATCACTAGAATGTATTGAGTAGTTTGTGGGAACACTGGCTTCTGCATGATTTTGAGGATGGTAATGAAGTCTAATCTACTGCTCCATTACACATATTATTCTTAGCCACAATAACAGTGTTCCGTTTGAGCTTTAGGGCTGTATTTAAATAGATGGTTTAGGAAACAATAAAGCCTAAAAGAATACTGTAGGTGTATTCCAAATTTAGTGTGAGTAGGAAACATCAGGGGAATTTTATCTACTCCATCAAACAATAAAACACTCTGAGCCAGCAACACAAAGGAGCCAAAAAAAAAAGGGATGGGAACATTTTTTCCGCTTATTTGAAAGCCAGTGTGCTAATAAAAATATCCATTAAAAAGCATATCAAGTCTTTTCATTATAGTTTGCAGGAGGTTTTGTTGGTTTTTTTAAAAGAGAAATGCTATATATTATGCTAGTTATATTACATAAACAGTAGAGCTTATTAATACCCTACAGGTCTATATCATGATCCATTAAACAAGCAAGCCAAGGGAAAGAATGGAGTTAGATGACCACGTGAAAGAAGAATGAGACAGTCCTGCAGAGAAAGACACAAACATCCAAGAACACATGAAAAGTACCAGCAATCAAACCCACGTGACCAAAAAAAAGCATTCTAGTTGCTCAATCTTTCAAAACATCTTTACTGAAGACCTTTAGATATTGGCTGTGTTTTCATGAACATATGCAAAAACGGGGATACCTCATCACCTGCCCCAAGGGTCATATAAAATAATGTTAATGGCTGAATATAAAATCCACAGTTCGGAGGTTCTTTCCCAGGTAAAGTCCATGACAATGTCAAAGCCTAACACAAGAAAGACGTAGCTCATATTACAACAAGCACCACCATAAATGCCCTGCTACCAATCATATGCCTTGAGCACTTGTTATGTATGAGACACTACACTAATGAGCTTACACATAATTCACTGAATTCTCACGCTTCCTTGAGGTAGCTGCTGTTATTGTCCTCATTTCCAGATACAAATGTCAAATTTTAGAGAGACCTAAAAATTTTTCTAAAGTTTAGCAGCCTTAAATAATGGAGCAGGGACTCAACCAGACATTTGTAATACTGGTCCTGAACTGTGATCCACTAGCCAGCGGGTTTCTAACTTTAAAGCTCGCCACAATCAACGGACAACTTGATTGTGCACCAATTCCTGGGCACCACCTTCAAAGGTTCTGATTTAGCCATCTGGGGTTAAGCCCAGGACTCTGCATTTCAACCAACACTTGTGGTAATTCTGGTACAACTGTCTGTGGAGCAAATACCAACTTCTGAGCAGAATGGCTATTATCTGCACTGGAATAGAGATTGCTGGTACCTGCTAAAATGCTAATTAAAGCAAAGGATTACCTGCAATGATGAAAAACTGCAGTAAATTTTAAAATAAATTTTACTTTTAACCTGCTTTATATTTTTGATATATATTATATATAAAATTATGAAAGATATATTGAGTTTTTAATATTTCATATATTTTAAAAGTGGTTTAAACTTTAAAATCAATTTTTGTTTTAACAATTAACTAAAGGAATCACTAATTTTTATTATTATTATTATTATTACACTTTAAGTTTTAGGGTACACGTGCACAATGTGCAGGTTAGTTACATATGTATACATGTGCCATGCTGGTGTGCTGCACCCATTAACTCGTCATTTAGCATTAGGTATATCTCCTAATGCTATCCCTCCCCCTCCCCCCACCCCACAACAGTCCCCAGAGTGTGATGTTCCCCTTCCTGTGTCCATGTGTTCTCATTGTTCAGTTCCCATCTATGAGTGAGAACATGCGGTGTTTGGTTTTTTGTCCTTGCGATAGTTTGCTGAGAATGATGATTTCCAATTTCATCCATGTCCCTACAAAGGACATGAACTCATCATTTTTATGGCTGCATAGTATTCCACGGTGTATATGTGCCACATTTTCTTAATCCAGTCTATCATTGTTGGACATTTGGGTTGGAGGAATCACTAATATTTTAAGCATGGGTAGGAGTTGATGATCACTTGCTAGCATTTTTGTTTAAAGGCTTAAAACTATTATATTGCTCTTTGTATATTCCAAAATACATACTGTTGACCCCTGAACATCATGGAGGTTAGGGGTACTGACCCCTACCTCGGGCACAGTGAAAAATCTTTGTGTAATGTTTGACTCCCCAAAAACTTAACTACTAATAGCATGCTGTTGGCCAGAAGCCTCACAGATAACACAAACAGTAGATTAAAACATATTTTATATATGTAGTATGTCCTCTGTTCTTACATTAAAGTAAGCTAGAGAAAATAAAATGTTATTAAGAAAATCATAAGGAAAAGAAAATATATGTACTCTTCAAGTGGAAGCACATCATCATAAAGACCTCCATCCTTGTCGTCTTCAAGCTGAGTAGGGTGAGGAAGAGGAGGAGTTGGTCTTGCTGTCTTGGGGTGGCAGAGGTGGAAATATATCCACATATAAGTGGACCCATGCAGTTCACACCTGTGTTGTTCAAGGGTCAACTGTGCTGTCTGGAACATTTTGTTTATGTGCCCTTGAGGATGATGACAAGCTGTGACATTATTTAGCAGTAATGTGATTTGGGGTTAATTCTGACAATAATGTGAACAGGAAATAGAAAGCATGGCCCAAGAAGTGAGTCTCAGATAGAAACACAAGGGACAAGAAGCTCAGGCACCAGCAAAAGTATGTGACCGAACGTCGACACAGGTCCTCTGTCAGAAGTTATATAGGTCAGAGACAAGACAGAAGGGTTTAAAAAAAATTTTTTTTTTTTTTGAGAGAATTTTCTCACCCATTAAAGTAGCTGATGCCCCTGGGCTCTAAGAGGAGAGGCTCAGTTTCACTGCAAGAGTCCAGAATCTTCTGCCAAAGCAATCTCACAATAGCTCAGAGTCAAGGACAGCTGCACGATATGGAGGAGGGGCTCAACGTCTGCTGAATACCTCTCTGGGCTTCAACTATGTGCCAAGATGTGTGTCAGTCAAGTGCTTGGCTAAATCAGTGATGAAGATGCACTCCCTGCTCTCGAAGAGTTAATAATCTGATTGAGATCAGGTTTCTAGCCCCAGCTTGTGTCAGCTTCTAGCCATATGATTCCAAGCATGTCACTTAAAAGTTCCTGAGCCCCAGGTTTTGTTATTTGGAAACCAGAGATAACATTTCTTCAGTGTGTTGGCATCAAATGAGAATATCTGTTAAGTATAATATACTATTATCTGTAATGTATAATATACTATTAATTGGTGTTTCTCGGTGTATTGTGTAAAAGAAGCCAGAACTGGGCTATCAAAGAAGCCCAACTGATGTACACACAGTTAATAAGCAGAAAAGAAGGAACTGCCCATTTCCTGCACTCAAGTGCATTCTTAACAAAGAGAACACTGATGAGGGGCATGACCCAGGTTAGTTCTACCAATATACTCTTATTCCTTGAAACTTCACAGGGACGAGTGATTGGAGGAGGGAGTGGTATCCTACAGACTGGAAAACAAAAGCATGGTCTTGCTCTCTTTCAGCATCATGGGGCACAAAGAGATACAAACTCCACAAACCATGGTGAGCTTGGCCCAAAGACAAAGCAATTCTTACTATTTATCAAACTTGCTCAGAAATTCCAGCAAGCATAAATACTCTATTTCAGAGGAATTTAACCCACCATAGAAACTATTACACTGATAAAAAGTGTGGCTATAGCTTTTTTTTTTTGAGACAGTCTTGCGCTGTTGCCCAGGCTGGAATCTCCTGAGTTCACGCAATTCTCCCACCACAGCCTCCCAAGTCTCTGAGATTACAGACATATGCCACTATGCCTGGCTAGTTTTTATATTTTTAGTAAAGACGGCATTTCACCATGTTGGCCAGGCTAGTCTCAAACTACTGATCTTAAGCGATCCGCCCACCACAGCTTCCCAAAGTGCTGGGATTGCAGGCATAAGCCACCGTGCCGAGCCCTAGATCTTTCAACTCTAGCATAGCAAAGGACAAAAAGAGAAAGATGAGGACTATTCAGAAATCAATATATGGTCATCACATGGTACTCTGATGTGCATAATCTGACCTACAAGAAAGAGCACAGTGCTGGGGTTCTGAACATTTGGGTTACTATCTGCCCTCTGCCATTATACAGATCTGCAGCCTTAAGGTCATTCAATGCCTAAACTTGTACTTCTGAAAAGTGAGAATGGTCATATTAACTCTACACCTTTTTTACAGGGCTTTCATGATGACCAGATAGGGTCTTGAATGTGAAAGCACTTTGAACTGTTAAAAATCACTCACAAAGAATCATGACTAAAGATATAAACTTCACTTGTATGCATAACAGGATGTTTCAAGACAATAAGATTTAATTTTCTGGATTGTACTGTAAACCACTTTATATGCAAGCTCTTAAAAAATAAAACGCCTGTGTAGTAAATTAGTACCTCTAGACAATTCTGCTATCTCTGTGACAATTATTTCTAGAATTCTGATGCGTAATTATCAAAAAAAGTAGTAAAACCCTAAATACAAATCCAAGCTTAACCTCCATGAAGTTTATTTTACTTTATTAACACTATATGATATTCATTGCTTTTCAAGTAAATGATGGGGTAAATGAGTCCTATAAACACATGCACACAGAGTCAAGGAAAACTTCCACCCGCCCCCTACAAAAAAAGGTGGAGAATCAAAGACACACAGGCTCAGGTTCATGAATATAGTAGATTCATTCCATTTTTAAAACAGGTATTACTGTGTTCTCTTTTTAACCCTAAAAGGACCAAATATCTTCAAAATAATGATGGTGGTGACTCTTCATTCCTAGGCCATTTTATCAAATATAAGTGTATATTTAGATAGACCCATGAAAAAATAACAAGTTGAAAATTCCACAGATAACCTAATTATCTAGGTATTTAAAAATTGTGACAAAGATACTACTATAAAACCACAAACAGATATTTCTTATTATATGGATGCAGAAATCCTCAAAATAGCAAACCAAACCTAGCAACATGAAAAAATTAAATTATATACCATGGCCAACTGGGATTCATCCCAGGTACGCAAGGTTGGTTTAACATCTGAAAATCAATTAATGTAATGCACCATAGCAAAACCACAGGATCATATGGAAAGATGCAATAAAAGCAATTGACAAAACACCATTTATTGAAAAAAAAAAACATAAATCAAACTAGGAATAGAAAGGAATTTCCTTGACACGACGTAACATGCAGGGGGAAAAAAAAAAAAAAAAAAACAACCATGGCTAGTATCATACTTAAAGGTGAAAGATAGATGCTTTACCCCTAAGATGAGGAATAAAATACTCATGTCTGCTCTCACCACTCCAATTTAACATTGTGCTAGAAGTTCTAGCCAGGATAGTAAGGCAAGAAAAAGAAATAAAAGGCATCCAGATTGGAAAGGAAGAATAAAACTCTATTTGTAGATGTCTTGATCTTGTATATAGAAAATTCTAAGGAATACACTGAAAATACATTACAACTAATAAATGAGTTCAGCAAAGTTGCAGAATACTAACTCAATATACAAAAATCAATACACCTTTTATATACTTGTATTGAACGATCCAAAAACAAAATTAAAACAATTATATTTATAATAGTATAAAAAGTAATGAGATACTTAAT
Source organism: Homo sapiens (assembly GCF_000001405.40). Classification (NCBI taxonomy): domain Eukaryota; kingdom Metazoa; phylum Chordata; class Mammalia; order Primates; family Hominidae; genus Homo; species Homo sapiens. The sequence continues at coordinate 74,090,217 of NC_000013.11, forward strand.
AATAAATTTAACAAAAGAAGTATAAAACCTATACTCTGGAAACTACAAAAAAATTATTCAAAGAAATTAAAGATCTGAATGAAAGAAAAAACATCCTGTATTCCCAGATTGGAAGACTCAAGATTGTTAAAATGTCACACATATCCTCTGCCTCCACACATGCATAACCTCTTTCATTATCAACATCCCATATCAGAGTGGTACATATGTTACAATTGAGGAATCTACTCCCAAATTAATCTACAGATTCAATGTAATCCCTACCAGAATCATAACTGACTTCTCTATCAAAATCGACAAGCTGATTCTAAAATGCATGTAGAGTCTAATAAATGTATACTGGTGGGTCGCTGTGGTTTTAATTTGCATTTCCCTGATGACTAATGATGATGAACAATTTTCCATGTGCTTAGTTGCCATCCATGTATCCTCTTTGATAAAGTATCTCTTGAGGTCTGTCGCCTGTTTTTTGATTGGGCTTTTCTGCTACTGTTGAGTTTTGAGAGTTCCTTGTATATTCTGGATAGAGCCCTTTGTTAGATACCTCATTTGTGTATTCTTCTCATTCTGTAGGTTCTCCTTTATTCTCTTAACAATGTCATTCACAGGACAAAACTTTCAATTTTGATATAGCCCAATTCATTAAAAAACATAAAAATAAAAATAAAATTTGTATAGAAATTGCAAGAGATCCAGAATAGCCAAAACTACCTTGAAAAAAAAAAAAAGAAAGTAAGAAAGCTCATACTCTTCCATTTCGAAACTTACTACAAAGCATCAAGAAACAAGACCAGTGTGGTTTTAGCATAAGGATGTAGGTCAATGGAGCAGAATTCAGAGTTCAAAAATGAGCTCATGTGTCTATGGCCAATAGATTTTTGACGGGAGTACCAAGATCACTGTATGAAAAATCAAGAGTCTTTTTAACAAATGGAGCTCAGATAACTGGAAATCCACATGCAAAAGAATGACTTTGGACCCTTGCCTCATAACATATTCAAAAATTAAAAATGGATCAAAGAACAAACATTCGAACTAAAACAATAAATTTCTTAGAAGAAAATACAAGGGTAAATTTTAAAGACCTATGACTTGGCAATGATTTTTAGATATGACACCAAAACCACAAGTAACAAAAAGTTAAACTGATCTTTTTATAATACCTCCGTAGTTTTGACTCTCCTAGAATGTTATACAGTTGGAATCATAGAGTATGAAGACATTTCAGATGGGCTTCTTTCACTCAGTGATATGCATGTAAGTTTCCTCTATGTCTTGTCATGGCTTAATATTTCATTTCTTTTTAGTGGTAATAACATTCCATTGTCTCAAGGCACCACAGTTTCTTCATCCATTTACCTACTGAAGAACATCTTGGTTGTTTCTAAACTTTTAGCAATTATGACTATAAATGTAAAAGGAGTAGTGGTTGCCAGGATTAGGGAGAGGGAGAGATCAACAGGAAGAGCACAGGGGATTTTAAGGCAGTAAAAAAAAACCTCTGTATGATAGTGTATTAGTGGTTATGTATCATTGTGAATTTGTCTAAAAGCTATGAAAAGCCAACACCAAGAGTGAATCCTAATGTACACTATTTATTTTGGGTGATAATACATCAATGTAGATTACTTAATTGTAACATATGTACCACTCTGATAGGGGATGTTGATAATGAAGGAGGTTATGCATGTGTGGAGGCAGAGGGTACGTGTGACACTTTTTTGCCTTCCTCTTAATTTTGCTGTGGGCATAAAACTGCTCTAAAACAAAGCAACCTTTAAAAAAAAAAAAACCCAGACGTGGTGGCTCACACCTGTAATCCCAGCACTTTGGGAGGCTGAGGCGGGCAGATCACGAGGTCAAGAGATCGAGACCATCCTGGCTAACACGGTGAAACCCCGTCTCTACTAAAAATACCAAAAAAGAAAAAATTAGCTGGGTGTGGTGGCGGGTGCCTGTAGTCCCAGCTATCTGGGAGGCTGAGGCAGGAGAATCACTTGAACCCGGGAGGTGGAGCTTGCAGTGAGCCAAGATCACACCACTGCACTCTAGCCTGGGATACAGAGTGAGACTCCGTCTCAAAAAAAAAAAAGAAGAGTTGGACTTCATCAAAATCAAAAACTTCTGTGCAAAGGATACTATCAAGAAAATGAAAGTCACATTTTGGGAGGCCAAGGCGGGCAGATCACTTGGGGTCAGGAGTTTATAACCAGCCGGGCCAACATGGTGAAACCCCGTCTCTACTAAAAAAAAAAAAATTAGCCGGGTGTGGTGGCACTTGCCTGCAATCCCAACTACTTGGGAGGCTGAGGCAGGAGAAATGCTTGAATCCTGGAGGCAGAGGTTGCAGTGAGCTGAGATTGCGCCACTGCACCCCAGCCTCGGCAACAGAGACTCCAACTCAAAAAACAAAAAAACAAAAAACAAAAAAAAGAAAAAAGAAAAAGAAAAAGACAGCCTATAAAATCGGAAAGAATATTTGCAAATTATACAAGATCCTAGTATTCAGAATATGAAAAGAACTAAAACTCATCAAGAAGACAAACCCAATGAAAAAATGGGCAAATAACTTAGACATTTTTCCTAAGGAGACATGCAAATAGCCAACAAGGACATAAAAGATGCTCAACATCGTTAGTTATCAGGGAAATGCAAATTGTCAAAAGTGGCACCTGAGAAAGAAGCTTCCTCGCTCACTCTCCTGAAAGAGGTTTCAGAAGCCCACTTCCTTTTCACTGTACAAACAAAAAATCCAGACAACTTCCTTCTCACAACTACGCACTTGAGGGGAACCAGGTGGAATTTAATGTGGATCAGAGAGACAGAAAGAAACTGGATCCATCCTTGATGGCACTGTTGAGAAGTTAAACCAAACTAATCCTGGAGACCTACCTACATCTGAACTTTCTATCATTAGACAACCAAAGTCCCTTTTATTACTTAAGCCTGCCTGAGTTCATTTTCTTTACTCAAAATCAAAAATCTTAACTGACTAAATCACATAGTTAAGAAATGCTACAGCGGGCGGATAACTGGAGCAGAAATATAATCTTGGAGGCAACAGTGTTGAAATGGCTATTTTTGAAGAAAGGCAAATTATGTTTTCCTCTACTGTACTGAATCATGTTTCAAAGCTTCACCCAGAACTTTATGTTAGACAGATCTTTTTCCAGCTCAAATGTGTTACCTGATCTCCGTTCCATATTTCCAACATTGTGAGCACATCCACTCAAAATAATATAGCATAAAGAATAAGAAAATTAAAATACAGAGCTCATAGAATTGGGCAAAGCTGGAATTCCTTTTAATGAAAAAGAACATTGTAAACTATAAATAACCATAAGATGGTCATTATCATTTGCCTGTGAATAACTTGAAGGAATCAGACTAAAAGAATTTTTAAGGAACATTCCAGCTCTAAATGTCTGATTCTGAAGCTTTCCAAAATATATAATCACATTTAAAAAGAAAATAGTTAAGAATTGACTCCAAAAAGAAAAAAATATATATATAAATATATATAGTGAGAGAGCCTGTATTCAACACATTAAACCTCAGATCATTTCTCTAGGTAAGTAAAATAAACAAAAATATAAACTAATGTAAATGAGCATTACTTTGGTTTAAATAGCAATCAACCACTCTGACTTCAACATGTTACTCACCACAAACATTTGAAAGTCATTCCTTCTTAGGAAAGGGCTATTTTTCCCAACTATTTCAGAGTTCATTAGGAGTATCAGTAAAATGCAAAAAAAAAAATACAATAGCTAGTTCATATTTACACAACACAAACATGTATTCAACACTTTAAATTAGTATATTTGATACATGCTAAGTATATAATTTTAAAGCCATTTCAGATGGGCAAAAGTAGCTAGGACTACAGGTGCCCACCTCTACCTTATATATAGACTAAGCTCATAAATATCTGTCATATACATGCACAAATATATACAGACACAGTAGAAAAGGTTTAAAATCTCATTTATCTACTTGAATTAGCTATACTTTCGTCCCTTGGTGGCCGAGAAAGCAAAGAACGATGGTTTTTATTAATAATAACTATAACATTTACATTCTGCAGGAATTTAGAAAATAGTTCTTGGCTTTAAAAAGTATATGAATATGCATTTGTGGAGGGGAAGAAATGATCCATGGTATAATGGACTTCCATAGCACTGTGCATTTTCCTTTACATATCATCATTTTCTTGATATGTAACCTGCCATGGATTACTACTTGGCTTATCAACTCTCACTAGATCATGAGTTTCAAATGCAAAAGAACTGGGCCAGGAATCTCTAGGATCAATCACAATGCCTGGCACATAGGAGGTAGTAAATGCCTTTCCACCCCACAACCAGAAAAGCTTTTCTATCTTTTCTTTTTTTTTTTTTTGAGATGGAGTATCACTCTGTTGCCCAGACTGGAGGGCAGCGGCCCCACCTCGGCTCACTGCAACCTCCGCCTTCCAGGTCCAAGTGATTCTCCTGCCTCAACCTCCCAGGTAGCTAGAACTACAGGTGCCCACCACCACGCCCAGCTAATTTTTGTATTTTTAGTAGAAACAGGGTTTCGCCACGTTGGCCAGGCTGGTTATGAACTCCTGACCTCAAGTGATCCACCCACCTCAGCCTCCCAAAGTGCTGAGATTACAGGCGTGAGCCACCACGCCTGGCCTCTTTTATATCCATCTTTCATTTGTAAAGCATTTTTGAAACTACATATTTCCAGTATAAAATGCCTCATGTAAGTAATATATTTTACAGTTATCCTACACATTGTATGTAGTATTATTTCCTTTCACTTGTTTTATAGTTAATGTGTTTCAATTTTCATGGGAAAACTCAGTTCTAATAAAGATTTCTGAGTTTTGATACAATAAAGTCTGCATTTTATGGACTCTGATCATATATCCTCCAGACTGAAAAGTTCACATTTTTCAAGTCTCCAGACAAAACAAAGATCAGTCATCTTTTTTTCAGATCATGTCTTTTTCAAGATATGATTAAAACCCCCACATGGGATTTTGGATATAAAATTTCAAAAGTTTATAGCAATATAATTATATTCAGTGAAACCTCATCTTTTTTAGAATCCTCGAGGAATAAAACCTCTGAGACAGTACAGTTTTTGTTACAGTGAATACTTGTAGTGCCTTTTTTATCGTATTTTTTTTTCCTTTTGGAGACAGGATCTCACTCTGTCATCCAGGCTGGAGTGCAGTGGTGTGATAATAGCTCACTGCAGCCTCAAACTCCTGGGCTCAAGCGATCCTCCCACCTCAGCCTCCCAAATAGCTGGGACTACAGGCATGCACCACCATGCCCAGCTTATTTTGTGTGTGTACATAGAGATAAGGTCTTGCTGCATAGCTGAGGCTGGTCTCAAACTCCTGGACTCAAGTGATCCTCCCACCTCAGCCTCCCAAATTGTTGGAATTATAGGCATGAGCTACTGTGCTCCACCTTTCATTGTAACTTTTAAGAGAAATGTTTATGTGTGGCATTACATATTTCAATTCCTTACAAAGACTAGACTGAATTAAAACAATTTAAACCCTTCTTAGTGATTTGGGTTACTATTTTGAATACTGAGGAGCTACCTCTCCCTAGCCCCAAATTTGTTGAGCCCAGAATTGTTGGGGTGTGTAGGGTTGTCTTCACTGAGGTATTTCAATAACATCAAGGACCCAACAGTTCCACATAGAAACACACATCCTATATCTCTCACCCCTTTGTAGAATCGTCTGACAGAAGTAGTGGTCTCTCCACCTAGATCCCCACCATTTTCCATCATTTCATAAGTTAGCTGGTTTGGTCTGAAAAGCCTCAACTTAAGTACACCTAGAACAGTTGTTCTCCATCACATTATTTGCTGGTGAGTGCACATAGGCTCTTTCTGAAGATTCTCCTCTTTCCCTTTTAGTTAGAAAGCTCAGAAAACTTCCATTTGAATTGCTGATACTGAAAAGTACCAAGTTCAAGCAATTCCAAAAGCTTTCCACAAAATGGACTACAAGAGTTCATCATTCTAACTAAACTCTAAGCTTCATCGTAAATTATCTTTACCTTCTTTTGTACCCACTGCCCCTTTCACTGATATTCAGCATGGTGCCCAGAAAATCTAAAAGTGAACTAGACCACATATAACTACAGGAAGAAATCCCCTCTCTCTCCAGCACAGAAAACAAAGACAGGGACCAAAGATTACAATCACAATGAACTTCAATTCAAACCTCACAGAATCATCTACTATGCAAGATGTACACTAAATAAAATGTGGTCGAGATTCAATTACGTAAGTTGATCTCTTCAGAGAAACTATTTTAATGGCAGAAACAATAACCTAGGGTTTCTTTTAAGCTTTTGAAAATCAATATTCATAAATCATGTTTCTGTTTCCTAGGAAACTAGGTAATACCTATGACGAGAAAACTCTACCAGTGTCATTTTCCTTTTATCCTTGGTTCACAACGTGGTTACTGCTTACTAGAAGAAAAAAATTACCTTCTAGTATCATTGAATATCACAATGAAATGAGAAGGGAGATACATAGAATGCCAATTTCTCAGACTGCATCTCCTTCTCAGGTGTGACAGAGAATTAACAGAATAAATGCCTGCACAGAGAGCTCCAAAAAGGTGGAAAACAGTTTATAATCTAGTTTATTATGTGCTCAACACAGAGCATGACATTTTGAAACAAAGGAGTTAAAAGCCTGGATTTGTTAGAAACATCAGGTCAGACACTTCCAAGTTCAAATTCCAAATTTTTTTCCCCTTGGGTAAATTAAAATTACTTCACCTCTCTGAACTACAGTTTCCAAGTCTTAATAAGGAGAAAAGACCTAGCTCACGTTGCAGTATATGAATACAATTTAAAAAGAAATACAAAATACCAAGTTCAGGATTAATTTTGTCTCTAAAGAATCTCCAAGAACTACGTTTAAAGATAACAAAACAGGTAGTTTCTCAAGGACTTTATGACCAGTGTATAAGGTTTCTTTTTTGAGTTCCCATCTTAGAGGGGTTACAAAGGGACATGGCATCCTTAGAAAGTTTAATGAGTGTCATTTCTACAAACATCTGTGCATGACCTTTCAACTCTGAAAATGTGATCATTTTATACTGTACATCTGTGCTGGGACCACATTACCTAAGCTTGCTCTGACTTTCATATCAACAATCAAATACAGAAAGAAAACTGATGCACAAATCACAACATGGTTGAATTACACACTTGACTACAGAGTTTATTAAAACAGTCTTGAATTTCTAAAATCCATTATTAAATCACAGTAAATTGTAGGGTATACAACCCTGGCCCAAAGATCCAAAGACTTCATATGCTGCTGAGATTCACTGTTTTACCAAATTCAGACACTGGAGACCATCATCTCAATATTTTAAACACACGTTTAGGTATCCTCCCAAACATTTAACTGCACAGAATACTTGAAAATACAATTTTATATACATATATATATATGTATTTGTGTGTGTGTGTGTGTGTGTGTATGTTCATGTGCTTTTATTAGTTAAATGTCTGCAACGGCATAGCAACTTTTTCCTAAAGCAGCAACACATAATTTCCCCACACTTCAGACCCCAACTCCACAAACTGCTCCTCCAAATATATATATTTTTAAATATTCCTTTTGACTTATAGGTACATCTGCTGACCCACCATGCAGATATTCAGAATTCAATTTTCTACTCTGTGAAAGAATATTTATGTATCAAACAAGAGAGACTAAAAAATGGCAACAACCAACTGGCTAATCTTATTTTTACAGGCTACTACTAGCCTCGACTATCAAATAGATATTTAGAAACTGCAGCTTTAATTTCCATATGCTGACCCTTCTGTATCATTAACCTTCTCACAAAATCCCAGAAATCCTGACCCCAGGAATGTAACCATTTCGGCCATAATAATAAAGTCAATTCAGATTTTCTGTTTATCATACACAGCTGATGCTGAACTCACTGCTTAGAATCTTGAATTACACATTGAGGTGAGAACATTGCATGCACTTTTATTAAGTGCTAAAAATGGTCCAGGTAATTATTAACTATCAATACTGCTTACCTCCTGACAAAAGCCTGGTACTGCAAAATGTTAGGCTAGGCTAATCAAATACAATAATGAAGATAATTTTAACCACCACCACCACATTCAGAAGCACTAAGACTTTTGGTACAGATTTTGACTTAGAGCCTTGTGGAGAGCTAAATTCTCATTCAGGTTCCTACCTCTACAGAATTCAAGCTCTATGATCTAATGAAGGTCACTTTACCTTTATCTGTAGAAGATGATTTCTAAAGTTCTTTCAATTCTCTATGACTCTGTAGGCCTAATACCCTAGAGCCCTAGAGATATGTATATTGAATATTGAATGGCTATATCAAACCTCATAGATGGGTTTTCCAACAAAGCAGGAATGCATACTTCCCAAATATTTAGCCAATACGACAAGAAAGAACCATTATACAAATCAGACTTTGGTAAGCTTTGTTTTCAACTTTTTGTACAAAGAGTTCATAATAGGCTTAACATTTTTTAGAAAATATTTTGCTAACTAGTTTATGTAGCATTTAACCATTATTAAGCAATTACATTCAAAATATAAACAGGTTTATATTTTGGCAAACAAATTCACATGGAACACAGTATTTTCAAATGCTTCCCACGCTAGTATGTTACATGTCATGGGTCTTATTTTATAACACAAACTCCGCTTACTTTTGTAAGGTTAGAAGGAGCTATTTTATGACTCATTTTTGCTACTGGACATATATACATCATTATCATTGTATAAATGGGGTTAGAAAAATCACTTTGGACCAGGTGGGGTGGCTCACATCTGCAACTTCAACACTTTGGGAGGCCAAGGCAGGAGGATCGCTTGAGGCCAGTAGTTCAAGACCAGTCTGGGCAACATAGTGAGACCTCAAAGAATAAAAAATTTAAAAATTATCTGGGCATGGTAGTGCACTCCTGTGATCCCATCTACTAGGGAGGCTGAGGTGGGAAGATCACCTGAGCCCAGCAATTGAGGCTGCAGTGAGCTAAGATCAAGGCCACTGCACTCTAGCCTGGGCAACAGAGTGAGACCCTGTCTCTAAAAAGAAGAAAAGAAAAATCACTTTGCACTTTGCCCTACATCAACCTTCACAAGCATATGAACCCTTTACAATATAAATCTCATTTTGCTCAGAAACATGAGCTATCACCCTCCAACCACGAGAAGAACACTATGTAAAATCATCAAATCAAAGTGCTTCTCTTAGATTCTGCAACTCTCAGGGCCATTCCTTTAGCTAGGCTTGTCCCTAGACACATACATATAATCAAACTGAAATACCAATTAATTCATGCAGTAAATCCTAAGAGCAAAGATGCTCCTAGGCATGGGAAGAAAACCTACATGCAGGGTACCAAGGAAGCACTTCCACAGCACCCTGCTATTTCCATTTCATAAAATTCCTCACACATAATTCAGCTATTTCACCCACTAGTCATGGCTCTGTAGAGGTGAAGACCATGTCTATCTCCACTTCTGTAGTATACCTAGCATGATGCTTCAACACAGGATAAACATTCTTTTTATTTAAAAAAAAAGTGTTGATTTAAACTGAAAATAGAAATACATACTAAACAGTACTGAAGTATAAAATGGTATAAGTTTTTCAAATTGAACCATAAAACATTCCTGTATTTTGTGCCCAGCAGCACCCAGAGCCATGGAGTGCTGATGGGAAAGAAGGGCACACACACAGGGAAGCAGGTCCACTGACACCAAGTACACAGAGTGTGGAGGGGAGAGAGAGCACGCAGCATGGAGGCACGCTGGCAGCTGGCAGCTGGAGACCACGGACAGAGGGGTTGTGGGGGTGAAGGAAGAGGAGATGGTAACAGGCAGATGAGATAGGGAAAATAAGTAAAATGATTAAGCAAATAAATATGTTGAGGATAACAAGAGCCAGGCTTCTTACTACAGTAGCAGGTATTTACCAACAGAATAGGTGGAGGCTACAGAGAACCCTGAACTGCTACACTGGAATTGGAAAAATAAGTATGAACTTCCAGTTTTAAAAAATATAATCACAGAAGCTGGGTGCGGTGTTTCATGCCTGTAATCCTAGCACACTGGGAGGCCAAGGTGGGTGGATCACTTGAGGTCAAGCATTCAAGGCAAGCCTGGCCAACATGGCAAAACCCCATTTCCACTAAAAATACAAAAATCAGCTAGGTGTGGTGGCAGGCGCCTGTAATCCCAGCTACTTGGGAGGCTGAGACAAGAGAATCAGTTGAACCCAGGAGACAGAGTTGCAGTGAGCCAAGATCATGCCACTGCACTCCAGCCAGGGTGACAGAGCAAGAGTCCATCTCAAATATATATATATATATGTATAAACATAGATATAAACACCTCAAATATATGTATATAAACATAGACATAAACACTGCTATAAGTGTATGTATTTATGGAGTGTGTACATAAAAATGTATGTGTACATGCCATTGAATCATTAAATGATACTCCAAAGTATAGCACTTGCACATGCTAAGCACTGTGAATTAAGGGAAATTGGGAGACCTTAGAAACTGCCTCAGAATCAAAGTCCGACCTTCCCTTGTTTTTCAACCTAGCCCATGGAGGGGATCTCTCTGAAGTTTCCTCATCTGAGAAAAGTTCTTTCAAAAGAAAAAAAATTGCCTTCAGCTCCCTGTCAGAAATCTCATCAACCAGGGAAAATTAATCACCAAAGAAGAATCTGAAGGCCATCACCACACCCACCCAGAGAGAATTTTCATCTATTCTGAGTGCTATTACTGACAGGCTTCATCTGCATATAAGACAACTTTTGTTCCCAGAATATGTCTTCCCCTTACCTTCCTATAGTCTGTTGCCACCTCCCTGCAAGCCACGAGGAGCTCTGTACCAGACTACTGTCCATTTTCTGGACCTATTCACCTCCCCTAAAGATGATTTACTCTTCCTCCAAAATTGCCTACATCCCTCACTTTCTCCTCTCCCCTGTGAAGAGGGTATTCAAGCACTTCTTTGAGTTTCCTACTTTGTGTAATTCCCATGCGCTTGCACATGAATAACTTGTATGCCTTTTCTCCTGTTAATCTGTCTTCTGTCATCTTATTCCAGCAGACTCAAGATCAACTCTTCAGAGGGAAAGTTTAAACTTCCCCACATAGACATACACATATTTCCCAGCTGTCCACCAAGAGGACTCAGGATCAATGAGCACTCAGAAAGCTAAGATTATAGTTTCTAAATACCACTCTCCACTGAAGGAACCAGGGTTAACTGGAGAAATGGCTTATCAGGAGGACAGGGCAGAGAAAATACAAGATGAGCCTGGAACTGCTTATTGTGCCATAAAATAAGGAAGTGCTGAAAGACTAATCAGGATGTGTCTAAGAGACACAAGAGCCACCGTGGCTTGCATTCACCAAATATAGGACAATATGAGCATCAAAATAGAGACAGTAATGGGTTATAACCCACCAAGTAAACTAGGAATCTGTGACATAATATATGAAAAACATCAGTAAATGGGGAAAAAGGGAGAACTCTTCCATAAAGCAGATTACCAGTAGAAAGAATAGCAGAAAATGAAAATCACCATTTGGCAACGATCACTGTGGTGGCTGGTTTAGGCAGGGTAACTCAATAAAGAATATGCCTGATGGAGGCCAGGCACAGTGGCTCACACCTGTAATCCCAGCACTTTGGGAGGCCGAGACGGGCGGATCACAAGGTCAGGAGTTCGGGACCAGCCTGGCCAAGATGGTGAAACCCTGTCTCTACTAAAAATACAAACAGTAGCCAGGCATGGTGGCAGATGCCTGTAATTCCAGCTACTCGGGAAGCTGAGGCAGGAGAATCGCTTGAACCCAGGAGGCAGAGGTAGCAGTGAGCCAAGATTGCACCACTGCACTCTAACCTGGGTGACAGAGCAAGACTCCATCTCAAAAAAAAGAAAAAAAAAAAAAGAATATGCCTGATGGATGGAGCTTTGATGAGGGAAAGATGGATATTGGTGTAATCTTAACACTAAGTGCTTAACTCCTGATAGCACTAAACAATTACAAAGGGGAAAATGGTGCCTTTGTGGAAGGGAAAGCTATCAGACACTAACAGAAACAGATGATCAAAAATTAACATCATTGGCTGGGCGCAGTGGCTCATACCTGTAATCCCAGCACTTTGGGAGGCTGAGGCGAGCGGATCACCTGAGGGTAGGAGTTTGTGACCAGCCTGGCCAACCTGGAGAAACCCTGTCTCTACTAAAAATACAAAATTAGCCAGGCATTTTGGCAGGTGCCTGTAATCCCAGCTACTCAGGAGGCTGAGGCAGGAGAATCGCTTGCACCTGGGAGGTGGGGGGTTGCAGTGAGCTGAGATCGCACCACTGCACTCCAGCCTGGGCAACATAGTGAAACTCTGTCTCAAAAAAAAAAAACTCCAACATCATCACTGGCTGAGGGTCATCCTACAGCAGGATCTCAGACCTGCACACTTAAAAACTGTGGAGGACATGACAGGGAATGACTGAGGAAATGTTCCAGATTGGTGAGTATGAAAAGACGTCACCACTGACTGTGATATAATTATTGCATGAGTTCACCACCATAAGAGCAAAGAGACAGCTTTAGGACAGTTGTTGAAATCTAAGTAGGTTTTATGGATTGGATGGTTGTGTCATATCAACATGGACTTCCTCCCTTGGAACTCTATTCACCTGTTTTTTTGAGGGGGGCAGTAACACACTCTAAAGTATTTATGGATGACAGGCATCATGGCTAAAGCCTGTTCTCAAATGTTTCATTAAAAGACCAATGATAATGGGAGAGAGGGGTATGTGATGGAGCAAACATGATGAAATGCGAAACGTGTGCTGCTCACACAACTTGCTATACATTTAAAATTATTTATAAGTAATTTTAAACATTATTATTTCTAAAATTTGTATCCCGAAACTAACTGTAGGACACTTTACAATTTCATCCCAGCTGTTGAAAAATTTCCATAATTAAAACATTTCTTAAAATAGGAGTATCCTTGTAGCTGATCATTTGAAGCTGTCTCATGGTGGCAAATTAAAACAATGATTTGATCTTCAAAAATGTGTGTGTTCAAAGATGTTAGTCCAGCTGCCAAGAAATATCATCAGCAGTGCAGCACGGAAAATGCCCTCAAAGGTACTCTAAATCTAACACAGCAGAGCGGGTCACAGGAGCAGGGATATGTTGCCCACTGGCAGTCACTAATATTCTCCTAAAAGTAGCCTAAGCACACCCCCCAGCGAATTCTGAAGCGCAAACTCCATATCTTCGGTTGGAGCTGTTTGGCTATACAACAATGTGCTATTTGTATTTAACTATACTGATCTTTTTGAGGGAAAAACATAAACAACCAAAATTAAGGAAATGTTTCATTTTCTTTGAGATGATCCCAAACTAAAAAGACAACTTCCAGGTCACTATGAATATGTACTGATGAGACGTAATTCAACTATGCCTAATTTCAAATGGCTTGATCTATTACAATACTATCAAATGAAGTACAAAGATTATACATAAAAACTTGTCATGACAACATGGGACCTACTTTATTATAGCATCAGTTTACAAAGTAATTGAGAAACAAATGATAAGTTTTGTTAGAAGTCTATGGGGTTAAGTAAAGCCTGATATTGTAATAGATCCTGAAAAGCAAATGTAATACTAGAAAGATAAGAATAATTTTTCCCATGGAAATAATTACCCTTAATTTTTCCACTGGGAATAATGGGTTATAAAATTTTATCCTGTATTAAAATACACACACAAACACACATCCCATGCAACAATAGAGAAGCATGTACAGATTAGGAAGTATCCCAGATAAGGTGTTTTGGGGACTTGTGAGTCATCACATTTGAACATGTTTTTAGTATATTGTTTCAATGATTTGTATATTTTATTTCTAGACAGTTTTGAGTAGTGCACCGTTATTCCTCTGTGGAAACAGAGATATTTAGTGAATGATTAAACTCATGCACTGTGTTATCTGACATTTATTCAACCGTAACTGTACAGCTCGACATTTCTGCACATTCACATAAACTGAGATTCATAAAGATGCATAAGGCAGTAAAACTTAACTTGCATGTTCTATGAATCATTAAAGACTGTCCTTCAAAACACAGAGTTTCAGTCAAAAACCAAAGTTTTGAATAACCTGGACCCACTTTCTTGATCAATTCAGATGTGACTGTTCACTGTATTTTTCTCCTGCTCCCTCACATTTCTCTCAGCTTTCTTATTTTCTGTTAATGGTACTCCCATTGCCCAATGTAACAGACTGAAAATATAATATCGCTTGAGATAGTATACAATTTCCTGAGTCAATAATGTTCTATCAAGAAAACTTTTTCCTAGTTTAGTATATGACTTCATAAATATACATATAGTGCTCCAAATTAAATCTGACAACTTCTAAATTCATTATATTTATTTTAAGAAGCAACAGAACAGCAGGGGAAAAGAGAATCACAATAGCAAACCAATAAAGAGTGGTGACCAGGAGATAAAATATGGAGGGCATAGGCTCTCATACTTGAAACTTAAACTAGTAATCATTACCAAAATTGGGTTAGGTTCCCCCCTCCCCCGCGATGTATAAGTGGGCCTGTACACTTCTCCTCTACAGCTTTTTACCCACCTATATTAACTTCAAAAATTATTTGTTGGCATCTCTTTTTTTAAGATCATAAGCTGCAGAGTCCACAGGGAGTTGGGTCACCATTACATTCAGTACATCCCCAGGGCCAAGTACAGCAGAAGTCAATGACTGTTTCACAGCTGGTAAGAAAGATCTGTTCTTTTAGTAAATAAAACAGGGTTTATTGGATGACTATTTATAAACCTCTTAAGTTGGAAACAATTATGCAGACATGACGGTCTATAAGAAAGATCTGGAGACACACTGTCAAAGGAAATATTGACTTAGCAATTTCAGAATTCTTAAAATAGCAGTATTTTCTAGCAATACAAATATATGAGTTTTATATCTTCAAAACAGACTGGGTTTTGTCCCTAAATATCCCTAACTTGATTGTAGACTATTTCTTTAAATAAATTTTTAAAAAATATTAATCTGTATAGTGAAGGAAAATGGAAAATCAAAGAAAAATAACCATTATCATATTTTAAATAGTATAATTAAAAGCATCATACACAGAATAATTTGACATTATTGTAGGTTTTTCCAAAAAGCAAACAACAACAATAATAATAATAATCCTGAAAAGGTAAGCAAGGGCATAGACGGGTAGAGAAGAGGGGAAAAGATCTTTGTTAAAAGTGTAAATTCATAGGTAATGGGATGCACAGGCTGAATTCTTGGATTCACTGAACAAGTAGGAGAAATGGCATTATTTGGCTTCCAACCTGGATGTGTTAACCTAAGCAGAACATCTGATGGAGGACCTTTCCCATGAAAGGATAAAGTGCTTGTTCAAATAATTCAACACTCAAGCACTGAAAATAAAAGAAAAAATTAATATGTACTATGCCTAATTCTCTCCAAAGGAGAAGAAGAAAATGGCTTTTGTAAAGTGAGTGGAAAAAGATGTCTTTCACACCATGATAGTATCAGGAGGAGACTTCAGCATGGCCACTGATATTCTTAGTGTCACCTCTTATTGTAATGAAATTAAGGTAGCAATGACATGGCAATTTCTTGTCAGCTTTAAAAAGAAATGGTGTAATTGAACTTCACCAACTTAATTGAGCCCTTCCCCTATATAGCTTATACCACATTAAGTGGGAATTCAAGGCTATTTATAAAGCACTGTGACTGTCCTCAAGACACTCTCAGTCAATTATATTTCATAATCACATTTGATGCCTACTGTCTATTAAAGGCTCCATGTATATTTTACCTGTAAACAGGAAATGCTTGGAGAGCCTTAAACAGGTACCCATCCAAATTGGTATTTGAGATCATTTTGATAACACAGGTAATTCAACAGCTGTCTGTACCAATTTTTTAACTGGATATCTTAGACACTAAAAGTGGTGTCAAATATTTAAAATTTAATTATCTAAAAACATCATTTATTACTTTAAATACTGGTGAAATTGTGATTAATATACTTCACTACAAGAGGAAATTAATAGTTTCTACCATAATAAAATTCAGACCAATCTGGGGAACTTTGTAACTGAATTCCCACTTCTTTTACTCAACACTATACTTCAAGGTATAAATTTTCTTGGAATGTTTTCAAAATATTCATCTTATTGCTAAGCAATAATGCTATTTTCTGGAGATAAAAATCAGTGCATACTTAAAACAACTGTGTTCACAGGAATTCTGCATTTTCACTGGATTATCAAGACCATGAATTAATAATATTCAACAAAACGTAACTGCCTAGAAAACAGATGACTGCACTGGGCTAAACAGATGATCATTAGACACCTGCTCCAACACAACTATTGTTAGGTATTTTACTCTATTTGCAAAGACAGTAAGGTGTGTAGTAACTCAAATCTATCTGCCCACAGCCAAGCCAAACAATTCATTAAAGACTTTCTTATGCTTCCTCTATATTATGATGGTAAAATCTTGGTAAGAAAGTCAGGTCCAATTCAAAAGAGCTCAAAGGAAAAAAAAAAAATTAAAGATGCTGTCTTACATTTTTTGGGCTGCTATGACAAAACACCTTAGACTGGTTAATCTATAAACAACAGAAGTTTATTTATCACAGTTCTGGAAGCTCAGAAGTCCAAGATCAAGGCACCAGCAGATCTGGGGTCTGAGGAAGGCCCATTCCCCACAGATGGCGCTTGTCTTCACATGGTGGAAGGGATGTGGGGGGCTAGGGTGCTCCCTTGAATTATTTTATAAGGGCACTAATCCCATTCACAAGGGTGGAGCACCATAACCCAATAAGCTCCCAAATGCCCCACTTTTTAATACTATTGCATTGGAGATTAAGTTTCAACATAATGAATTTTGGTGGGACATCAACAGACCATAGTAGATGCCTTTAGGAGGCACACATGTATTCCCAGTTCGGTTTCTAACTATTCTAGGGTAGGGTCCCTATGCAATCAATTCTACTCCAAACTCTCCAACCAAAATTTGAAACAGCAATGTCACTAAGTTAAAATAAAGAAATAGGTTGAATTTCAAGGTAACAATATCTCTACAGAAATAAAAGTAAAAAGGAAAGTTAACTCTTCACTTTCTTAGATCATTGTATGTTGGACTTACTTAAATGTGAGGTCTCTCTCACCGTGTGTGTATTTGTGCGCATGCGCACACATGTGAACCAATATAAAGACTAAAAGGCAGAGAAATAAACTACATATTAGAAACTAGAAATCAGGGAAAGCCAAGACAAACCATTAAGGGTGGCTCTATCCTTGAAATAAAAGGCAGAGAAATAAACCACATAGCAGAAAGTAAAAATCAGGGGAAGCCAAGACAAATCATTAAGGGTTGCCCTATCCTGGAAAAAATGTGCACCTCAACTGGGTCAGAGCAGGAATCGATGAAGAGCAAAGAGAAGAAACACAAAGTGGAAAATGACCTTTAGATTCTAGTGCCAACAACTGATCGAGACAATTGATCTTTACAAAGTTTTAAGCAACTGTGAAAGCAAAAATATTTAGTCTTGAGGTACGACATTAGACAATTTGTCTTAGTAACAAAGATTAGGCTTATATACTGTACATATGGTCCTTTAATTTCCATTCCATGCAAATGCTGGCTAAGTTTTCAATGTACTATTAAGTCACATTATTTTTACTACTTTACTTCTTCACTGTGGCATTATTCATCTTCCACACAAGGAAGTGAATGTATTATAACTCACAATAGAGATCATTAAAAGGCTCTTTCAAATTTATTTTAACATATGTCCCTCATCTCTTTGAGTATATGACTATGTTCTCTGCAATAGCAATAATAATAATAATAATTTGTCTAAATAAACCATATATCATTCTTGTTTACTTAGAGTCTCTTTGGATAAACTTTTTCAATACTATTAGCAATTCAGATGACCACTTCATTCTCACTCCAATTTCTGTATAACTCTTTCAAAAACTCTAAATATGTTCATTTACATATTATTTTTCTTCAAGAATCTAAATGGAACTCTTTAAGAGCAAGAAATAAAAGTTAACATATTTATATCAAATTTTATATGAAGAGCAAATACCCTGTATTTTCAAACATACAGTTGACCTTTGAATGTGGGGGGTGAGGGTCATAGGAGTTGGGGCGCTGACCTCCCATGGAGTCAAAAATCCACGTATATCTTTTGACTCACCAAAACCTTAAATACTAGTAGCTGACTATTGACCTAAGCCTTACTGATGACATAAACACTTGACTAACACCACTGCTATATGTATGTTACGTGTATTAAACACTATATTCTTATAATAAAGTAAACTAGAGAAAAGTTATTTAAAAAATCGTAAGAAAAAACATATTTACTATTGATTAAGTGGAAGTGAATCATCATAAAGATCTTCATCTTCATTGCCTTCAAACTGAGTAGGCTAAGGAGGAGGGGGAGGAGGAAGAAGAGGAAAAGGAAGAATTTGTCTTGTCCCAAGGTAGCATAGGTGGAAGAAAATCCATGTATAAGTAGACCTCTACAGTTCAAATCCATATTGTTCAAGGGTCAAGTATATGTGAAAATTTATGTAAATTAATCATTCATTTTATGAGAAAGAATTTTCCATAAAATCCAAAACACAGAAATGGCATGTTAGATTTTCTAACTAGAAATTAATGTGTAAAATCCAATCACTTCAAAAAAAGAAACAGAAAATGCAATCGAAAACAAAAATGTAATAAACACAAATATTTGAAAAAAAGTTGATAAAACAGATAAATCATCAACTAGTTTTTGAAGATATAAAAATACAAATATGAAATTAAGAATCACTTTTAACTACCACATGGAAATTTTTAACATATATTATCTTTAAATTTCTGCTACTAAATTTAAAAGTAGCTAGAAAATTATTGAAGGTAAGTGTTAATGTCAATTTTTTTTTTTTTAAATAAGAGACCTAACTGGATCAATCACTGCAAAACAGCTTTGCTGGAGTGCAGGGAGCACTGGGGGGAGTAAGTAATTGATTATTTTTAAAAGCTAACAGATATATAAGGTTTCCCAACATTTGAAGAATAGATAATATATTTTGTAATAATTTTTAAAAGAACAGATTATTTGAATGCTGTAAGAAGTACTCTAGAACACAGGAAAAGATGGGAAACTTCCTCATGTATTAGTTAAAAGCAACATACCATGATGTCAAATCATCAATATTTCAAAGAAGAAAATTGTAAGATGTCCAAAAGCATTTGATAAAATTGTAAATCTATACTTGATTGTAATTCTTAGTAAAATAAAAATAAAAAGACAGTTCTTTAACATGATAAAATGTTAGTTCAAGCCAATGGAAATTTCCTACAAGAACACACCAACAATGACCACTTAAGAAATATAAAGAGCAAGGGGAACATTCACAACAGCAACTACTATCAAGTATCTATAGAACTGAAATTATGAAAACCGATCCGTTTTTACTAAAAAGCAACATAGAAGCTTTTAATAAACTGGCAGTATATATCACATTTCTAGAGAAACAAAATAATTAGGAAAGTCAAATGGAAGAATGAAGTGAGAATCATAGCTAAGACTTTTGGGGAAAAAAACAGGAAAAAGTATAATATTGAAATGATGTGGGACTAAGAGAGGATAGTAAACTTTAGCCAATGCTTACAAGATTTTCAAATTTTTCAAGAAAATTTGGAAATCTAGATTTTCTTAAGTGAAATGTCACATGTTTCTCTGTAGGCTTAAGTCTTTGAAAGCACTATTTCCAAAGAAAGCATTTCTGTACGCTAAATTGGCCAGAGTGGACCTCTGCCCTATACACACCCAACACTTCCTGCCTCGCCCAGAGCTCAAGTTGCTTCCTATGTTGGACAGCCCCGTCCTCTTTCTCCACCCAGTCAAATGCAACCCACCCATCAACGTGTGGCTTACAGGCCAGTCCTCAACAGATCATTCTTAGAACCTCTGGTATGGCTTTATCATTACTCTCCCTCTGCTACAAGAATTACAGTTCTAACAATAGATTGTAATAACAAATAGTAACCCAATGTATTCTGTCTCTTCCTCTAGAATTGAGAGTAGGAACAGTGTCTAATAACAATACCATCTACTATCTTACTGGCCTTTCTTTATACCAAACACTGAAATGATGCTTTCTACAGAGTTTTTCTGTAACCCTCCCAACAAATGCAAAACAGGTATTTTTCCTACTTTACAGGTAGTACAGTGCTCAGAGGGGTAAGCAACTAAACAGGTCCTGGAAATAAATGGATTCTAAATTCTTTTTTGCCAACTTCACCAATCATATCACAGCTGGTTGGTCTCGGTTGAGTTAAATTTACTTGGGACCCTGTTCTCAAATGAGGGCACTGAGGTGAGAGATACAGCAAAGATAAGAACAACATTAAACATAAGAACTCAAGGGTTTGTAATCTGCAAATAGGATATGAGTACTACATGAAGCCCAAGAAGACGTGATGTATTCTAGTTGTGTATTTGAAATTGACTTCAATAATATAAGTTACATTGGAAGGCTGAGGTGGGCGGATCACCTGAGGTCAGGAGTACGAGACCAGCCTGACCAACATGGTGAAACCCCGTCTCCACTAAAAATACAAAAATTAGCCAGGCATGGTGGTGGGCGCCTGTAATCCTAACTACTCAGGAGGCTGAGGCAGGAGAACTGCTTGAACCCAGGAGGCAGGGGTTGCAGTGAGCCAAGATCCCACCATTGCACTCCAGCCTGGGCGACAGAGCAAGACTATGTCTCAAAAAAAAAAAAAAAGTAAGAATAATAAGAATAATATAAGTTATATCAAAAATTAACCTTTTGCATTAGCAAATTTTATTGATTCACTTGAACTTGATGTACTCAGTGAAGGAAAAACAGAACAGATGGTACTGTACTGTAGCCTGAAAGAAAATTTGAATCATAAGACAACTTTTGAAATATTCTTAATATTCTTGTCATTTAAGGTACCAATAAAGTTCTTATAATACCTAATTTGTATGTTTTGTTGACATCAAAAATGAATCACCTTATAAGAGGCTTCTTTTAAAAAATTAAATAAATCTTTAAAATATCTATAATCAATTTACCTTCAGAGAATTTAAAGTAATTCTAATGTAACCTGCTGAAAAATTCTAAAGCTACAAGCATTTGGGGATGTTTCATGAGCTGTGACTGAAAAAGGAGAACACAACCTAGTAACAAAACTCTTTCACAAGATAATCTGAAAAGTCCAATTAATCATTCACCCTAAAGAACACATTTTTGTTTAAGTGTCTTTAAAAATTCAATAGAACATCTCACATTGAAAAACATTTGTGCCAATGGGGAAAAAAGGTCTTTTAAAAGTACTATGAGTTACTAAACCAGAAATGTATTATTTTAAAGAAGTTAAAGAAATCCTCAAGATGATGTTTTCCTCTTTATTTTTAGACCTGTGAAAGATATGTTTTTAAAAGTTCCACTTATAAAAAAGGCAAATATATTACAGAAAACTAGATCATTTTTTGGCTATTTCTAAATTTGTTCAGTATTTGTTTAAGGCTAGAAAGTCATAAGCTTCAACCAATCATATTTTGGCTCAGATTTTAAGTTATTCATATTTAATATCTGTTCTTTATAGCAAAAATACATGACTCTTCTGCAAAAAGAAAAAAGGAACACCCAACTTATTACCATAGAACAGGGGTCAGTGGACAATGACCTATGGACCAAACAGAGCCATGGCCTGTTTTTGAAAGGCATGCTCCCAAAGAATAGTTTTTACATTTTTAAAGGGCTGTTAAATAAACGTTTATGTGTGTGTGTGCATCTGTGTGTGTGTGTGTGTGTATGATATGTATGCATGACAGTGACCTTATGTGGCTAGAAAAGCCTAAAATATTACTGTCTGGCCCTTACGCAAGTTTACTGACCCTGTCAGAATATAAAAAGTTCTTTATACAGGCATGCCTTATTTTGTTACATTCCATTTTACTGCACTTTGCAGATATTGTCTGTGTGTGTGTGTGTGTGTGTGTGTGTGTGTTTTGTTTTGATTTGTTTTTTTACAAATTAAAAGTTTTTGGCAATGTTGAGTCGAGCATGTCTGTTAGTGCCATTTTTCCAACAGCATGTGTCACATTTTGGTAATTCTTGCAATGTTTCAGACTTTTCTATTATTGCATCTGTATTGGTGACCTGTGATCTTTGATGTTACTATTGGGACTGGCTTCGGGGCAACACAAACCCTGACCTTCTAAGACAGTGAACTTGATAAATAGATGTTGTGTGTGTTCTTACTGCTCCACCAACTGGCAATTCCTTCATCTCTCTCCCGGAGACTTAACAACACTAAAATTGGGCCAATTAATAAACCTCAAAGGCCTCTAAGTGTTCAAGTAAAAGAAAGCATCACCTGTCTCTTACTTTAAATCAACACTAGAAATGAGTAAGTTTAATGAGGGAGGCAGGATGAAAGCAGACAGACCGAAAGCCAGGCCTCTTGTGCCAAAGAGCCAAGTTGTGAATGCCAAGCAAAAGTTCCAGAAGAAAATTGAAAGTGTTACTCCATCAAAAACATGAATAAGAAAACGAAACAGCTTTAATGCTAATGACGGAGAAAATCTGAGTGGTCTGGATAGAAGCTCAAACCAGCCACAACATTCCCTTAAACCAAAGCCTAATCCAGGTCAAGCTCCTAACTCTCTTTAATTTTGCAAAGACCAAGGGAGGTGAGAAAGTTGCGTTGGAAGCCGGAAGAGTTTGGTTCATGAGGTTTAAGAAAAGAAGCCATCTGCATAACATAAAGGTAGAAGGTGAGGCAGCAAATGCTGATGGGGAAGCTGCAACAAGTTATCCGGAAGATCTAGCTAAAATCACTGATGAAGGTGAATATACTAAAAAACAAAAACAAACAAACAGATTTTCAATGTAGACAAAACAGCAACCTATCGCAAGAAGACGCCATGGAGGACTTTCATATAGTTAGAGAGGAGAAGTCAATGACTGGCTTTACAATCTCAAAGCACAGGCTGACTGTTAGGGAATAATGTATCTGGTGACTTTAAATTGAAGCCAATGCTCACTCACTATTCTGAAAAATTATGCTAAATCTACCCTGCCTGTGCTTTATAAATGGAACAACAAAGCCTGGATAATGGCACATCTACTTACAGCATGGTTTATTAAATACTTCAAACTTACTATTGAGATGTACTGCTCAGAAAAGATTCCTTTCAAAATATTACTGCTCGTTGACAATGCACCTAGTCACCCAAGAGCTCTGACACAGACGTATGTAGAACTAGATTAAAGCTGTTTTCATGCCTAACACAACATCCTTTCTGCAGCCCAAGGATCAAGGAGTTACCTCAACTTTCCTTATTATTTAAGAAACACGTTATGTAAAGATATACTTGCCATAGATAGTGGCTCCTCTGATGGATCTGGGCAAAGTAAATTGAAAACCTTCTGGAACTGATTCATCATTCTAGATGTCCTAAGAATATTTGTGATTTATGCAAGGAGGTCAAAATATCAACATTAGAAGGAGTTTAGAAGAAGCTGATTCCAACCCTCACGGATGACTTGGAGAAGTTCAAGAGTTCAGTGGAATAAGTAACTGAAGATGTGGTAGAAACAGCAAGAGAAATAGAATTAGAAGTAGAGCCTGAAAATGTGACTTAATTGCTGCAATCTCACAATAAAACTTTCATGGATGAGGAGTTGCTTCTTACAAACAAAGTAAGTGGTTTCTTGAGTTGGAATCTACTCCTGGTGAAGATGCTGTGAACACTGATGAACTGCCATGGCCACCCCAACCTTCAGAACCACCACCCCGATCAGTCAGCAGCCATCAACATCCAAGCAAGACCCTCCACCAGCAAAAAGATTATGACTCATTTAAAGTTCAAAAGAATGTTAGCATTTTTTAGCAATGAAGTATTATTAATTTAAGGCATGTAGGTTTTTTTTCATCACAATGCTATTTTGTGCTTAATAGGTCATTATAATGTAAACATAACTATTATGCTTTGGGGAAATAAACAAAATTCTAGTGACTTGCTTTATTGAGATATTTGCTTTATTGTAGTGGTCTAGAACCAAACCTACAGTATCTCTGAGGTATGCCTATAATTAAGGTCTTATATGTGGGTCACTGACATCATACTACACTCTAAGCTGCCAAAGAGATTGAGTCAGAAGATTAATGGATGAAGTATGAATGAAAGGCAATTTTTAAAATATCTTTAATAATATTTACAGCAGAGACACACTATTAAAATCTGAGATATGGCAGCATCAAGTTGTCAACGTGGGTTCCAGAAATTGATCTACCCTCAATACTTGAAAATACTGAAGTTTTAGATGGGTGTTCATCTCACAGATGGGGTTTAAAGGAGCATAACGTGCTATTTCATACACATGTCCCCCTCCCTCTAATCCTCCACTCCCTTTTTGCCAGAAATAGTCTTACACGTCATTCAAACACAGAAGAAATGCTTCTTTCTCAATGAATACTCTAAATCATGGGGCCCCAACCCCCGGGGCCATGGACCAGTACCTGTGAACTGTGCATGAGAAGGATCTAGGTTGCATGTTCCTTATGAGAATCTAATGCCTGACGATCTAAGGTAGAAACCATTCCCACTCTTTCCCAGTCTGTGGGAAAATTGCCTTCCATGAAACCAGCCCTGGTGCCAAAAGGGTTTGGGGACCACTGTTCTAAATCCTCCAAATTAACAAAGTTAGTTATCCCCTTCAAAGCTTTCAGAACTTTCTGTACAATTATTTTTTATAGAACTTGTAATACTGTATTATATTTTTGTTTACTTTTCAAAGATTTTTGAATTCCTGGTAGCAAAGACCTTATAACCACTAACATTTCACATAATACATTGCCCATAGTGAGCTGATTAATTTCCTGTGGCTGCCCTAACAATTTTCCACAAACCTGATGACTAACAACAGAAATTATTCTCTCACAGTTGTAGAGAAGGGGAAAAGCAAGGCCATAACTCCTTCAAAGGCTCTAGAAAAGAATCTTTTCCACCGGGCATGGTGGTTCACTCCTGTAATCCCAGCACTTTGGGAGGCTGAAGCAGGTGGATCACCTGAAGTCAGGAGTTCGAGACCAGCCTGGTCAACAGGGTGAAACCCTGTCTCTACTAAAAATACAAAAATTAGCCAGGCGTGATGGCAGGTACCTATAATCCCAGCTATTCGGGAGGCTGAGGAAGGAGAATCACTTGAACCTGGGGGACAGAGGTTGCAGTGAGTCAAGATCATGCCACTGTACTCCAGCCTGGGCGACAGAGTAAAACTCTGACAAAAAAAAAAAAAAAAAATCTTTTCCTTGCCTCTTGCAACCTCTGGTGGCTGCTGGCACTAGTTGGTATTCCTTGGCTTGTAGCCACATCCTTACAACCCCTGCCTCTGTATTCTTATTGCCTTCTCCTCCTCTGACGCTTGTAAGGACACTTGTCACTGAATTTAGAGCTTACCTGAGAAATCCAGGATGTTCTCATCTCACATCTTTAACATAATTACACGTGCAAAAACCACCTTCCAAACAAGGCAATATTCACATATTCCCAGGATTCACACGTGGGTATATCTTACTGAGATTTACCATTCCACACTCTATCGCTGCCATACAGTAAACATGTGCTCAGTTTTCTTACCTTACACCCACATGAAATAAACTTATAGATAAACCCAAAAATGAGGAAAAGTGGAAACAGGAAAACTTAATTTCTTCCCTTCTCTGCTAATATCCTCTTTGAAAAGGAACCACTGAGGCATAGCCAGAAAGCTTCACCAGCATTTTTTTTACTAAGAAATTACTAAGGATTACTTAACACAATGCCCAATGACAGATCACTGGAGACCATTTCTTTGCTCCTAGGGAAAAAAGGCCAGAGATATATTTTCTTCCTCACAAAGAAACACTCTTATTCACATCGAGTGGGAACCTGCTTTAAGTGAAGTTTCAATTTCTTTAAATTCTTTATACGTGGCCATGAACATTTTACAGCACGTGTAGTTTTACATGAATGGTAGAAAGCCAAACTACTAAGAATTTATCCTTACAGGAAATTTAAGTGTTTAAAGCCTTACCTCTCAAGATTTTAGGCTTTCATTTGAAACACAATCCCTTGCACATCATGAACATTCACTGAGAATAAGTTGATTCCCATGGCTATGATTGTTTCCTAGACACAGTTTAAGATGTCATAGCAGAACTTTTCAGAAAGTATTTTAATCTTACAAAGATCAAAGACTGCTATGATCTTCAAATTAGGGTTGGAAACTAGGATAGAAATTTCAAAACTTCTATAAACTATAATTAGGCCTGAAATAATTGTTCTATTCAAGGTTTACATTATTAACTGAAGGGACCAATTAACTATTAATATAGTACTATCTAGCAGATTATAAAATAATGCTGGCAATATAATGTATCCATAGACTCAAACTCTTCAAATAAAACATCCCTAATATCCCACCATACCAGGGAACCAAGATAATGAAAAGTTAGCCAAGAGCAAACGTAAGAAAAATGTCAATCAACTTGCTGCAAGATTTGGTAAAAAATCTATTTTCTCTACTCTTATCGCAACATAAGTTATGAAAATTCCAGTCAATTAGCCAAAATAATGTAATAATTTCAAACAGAATTATTGGTATTTCCTCTATTTATCAGTTTATTAAAAAAATAAGGTTTAAAGAAAGACTGATTCTGATCAACTTGATTCACAATTAGAACAGCATCTACCCTGGTAGCAAAAAGAACACTCAGCACCCAGTCCATGGTTTCTAGATATCATTCTACAATGAAATGAGAGACCCTTGAAGGATTGGCTGATTTGGTAGCTGTGGCAGGGAAAATATGAGATGAGCCTGGAGTATCCTGTAATACCAGAAAGTTAACAAAGTATTCAAAAACAAAAGGACAAGGGGATGTCACTGGGCCACAAGAGCAAATCTGAAAGTGGTCTTTGGTCAAAACCAGAAAAATCTAAATAAGAGACTAACACAGTATTAGCTTATGACTCCACATGTAAGATATATACGCATGTACCCATGCCAATATAAATTTAAAAATAAATGGGGGAGAACAAAATAATCTATAGAATTCTAAACATGATATGTAGTTATTCCTTAAGAGTAGGCAAGACTTAGTGACTCACTTCCACAGAACAGAGTAAGGAAATGGAAAAAAATTACAGTAGAGAAGCTTGGCAAATACCACTTTAACCAAGTAATTAAGGTTAAGATCATCAGTGGTATCTTGTGGATATCATGATATGATACAATGATACCCCGATGTGATACACTGAGAAGGGTTCGTCACCTATGTGATATTGTTTTCCAATACCCCCTAAGCCAGTCTAACCATGAGAAAAGCATCAGATGAACCAAAACTGAAGGACGTCCTATAAAATACCTGACCAGTACTCCTTAAAATTCTTAAGGTCATGAAATAAAAAGAGAGACTAAGAAACTGCCACAAAACAGAAAACTTAACAGGTGTAACAACTCAAAGCAATATGGTACTTGTTTGTATCCTAAAAGAGAAAGTAGACATTAATGGAAAAGCCAGTGAGATCCAAACAACAATAACCTACCAATGTTGGTTTCCTGGTCTTGATAAACAACGCCATGGTAATTCTACTAAGTGTCATTACACATTGTTAGTTTTTGTATGTGTGTGTATGTGCTTTTTGAAGTCCTTATCTGCTAGACAAATATATTAAAGTATTTATGGGTAAAATTATATGTCTGAAATTAGTTGTTCAGGGTGAGTGAGGCCAGAGATTTATGAAACAAGATGGCAAAATGTTGAGAATTGTTAAGGTTAAGTCTGGGTGCATGAGGGTTTCTTATACTATTCTCACTACTTTTGTATATGTTTAAAATTTCTCATAATAAAAGAGATATTTCAAAATCTTTTAAATGTCTATGATTTAGTCAACCTTCTTTAAATAAAAGCCACACGTCTCACAATGCTTAATGAACTTTGCAAAGTTTGTTACATTGTTAAATAAAATTCTTACGCATCAAAAACACAAAAAACTTTTTAAGTGCTTTATTAGTTATGTTGTAAAGGAAATCTGGTTTCCTCTGAATGGTGTGACTTTCCATACATTATGTTAATCTATTTCCTGGTAGATAAGAGAATGAAGGACAAAGTGGCTGACTCAGTTGCAAAGGCTGGTAGGTGGAGGCAATGAAAGAGAAATGCACTCTCACATTACATTTATTAAATTATGGTCAAAAAGTTTCAAAACTGATACGAAAATGGAATTAAACCAGTCCCTGTGATATATTATCACCCCCGCCAAAACCCAATTTACAAATCAACCTTTCCAACATCTTAATTGTAAGAGGGTGCAAGTCTGTTAAGATAGGAAGCTGCACATGCTCATGTGCACACACAAACACAGACCTCTTCCCAAGAACAAAGACTACAAAGAGAAAAAATAATGAAAGAAAAGATGTAGTACTTGAAAGATCCAGGAGACCAAACACGTGAAGAGAAAACTAAAGGAGAAAAAGAAACAAATAAAAGGAAGACAATAATAATACATCAACTTCTTACCATAATAATTATTTATCTCAGTATCTACTGTTCTCTTATATATAATGGCAGGAAGTCAATCAAAAATTACAAGGGCAGGGCACAATGGCTCATGTCTGTAAACCCAGTAACTTGGGAGGCCAAGGCAGGCAGATCACCTGAGGCCAAGTGTTCAAGACCCACCTGGCCAACATGGCAAAACCCCATTTTTACTAAAAATACAAAAATTATCCAGGTGTGGTGGCACGTGCCTGTAATCCCAGATACTTGGGAGGCTGAGGCAGAGAATCACTTGAACTTGGGAGGCGGAGGCTGCAGTGAGCCAAGATCACACCACTGCACTCCAGCCTGGGTGACACAGCGAGACTCTTATCGCAAAAAAAAAAAAAGACAAGACAGAAAAACAAAGCAAGAAACTACCCACTGTCAACAGATAAACCTGTCAACACAAGCAGACCCTGAGATAGCAGAGATACTGAAACTAACAAATTGAGAGTTGCAAAATAAATATAAGATGTAAAAGAATCTAGAGGAAAGGGTAGAACATGCATGAACAGAGAAATTAAGCAAAGGGGTCATAAAAAATGCTAGGCAAATAACTTCTATGAAAAATTAAGAATTCTTTCACTGAGCTAACAACAGACCTGACACAGCAGGAAGAATTAGGAAACTTGAGGACAGATCAATACAAATTATTCAGACTAAAACTTGAATAGATGGGGGAGAGGTGCAGAAGATTCAAGACTTGTGGGGCAATACCAAGTAGTCTAATGCGCTTGTCAACATAGTCCAAAGGGAAAAGAGAAGAGAAGGGAGGGAGAGCAATAGAAACACTGAAAAGGTAATGGGTAGAAATTTCTGAAAAACTAAGAAAAACAATAAAGCAGCTTAGAGAATCCAACACATGATAATTATAAATGATAACACACCTATATGCATCATAGTAAAACTGCTGAAAACCAAAGTTAAAGAAAAAACTCCTGAAGGCAGCCAAAGAAAAGAAAAAAAAGAAACATTACATATAGACAAAAAAAAAAAGAATTTCAAAAGATATCTTTTCAGAAGTATATAAATGAGAGGATACTGGAGCAATATCTTTAACGTAATGGTGGAAAACTGTCAACCCAGAATTGAATACCCACCTAAAACACTTCAGAAACCAAAGCATATAGATACCTTTACACAAGCAAGAGCTGAGAAATGTCATTCCCAGCAGATTGCACTGCAAGAAATTATTTAAGTAGGCCAGGCACAGTGGCTCATGCCTGTAATCCCAGCACTTTGGGAGGCCAAGGTGGGCGGATCACCTGAGGTCCGGAGTTCAAGACCAGCCAGGCCAACATGGCGAAACCCTGTCTCTACTAAAAATACAAAAATTAGCTAGGCGTGGTGGCAGGCGCCTATCAGGAGCTACTCAGGAGCGTGAGCCATGAGAATTGTTTGAACTCAGGAGACAGAGGTTGCAGTGAGCTGAGGCTGCGTCACTGCACTCCAGCCTGGGTGGCAGAGCGAGACTGTCTCAAAAAAATAAAAAATAAAAAATTATTATTTAGGTAAAGAAAGAATTTATTTAGGTAAAATTAATATGATACTATATAAAAACATATCTACATAAAGAAATAAAAAAAACCCTGGAACTAGCAAAAATATGAGCAAGAATTTTAAAACATATTTTTGTCTGATATTGAATCTGTATTAAAGGTAACTTATTATTTAAAGCAAACACAGTAGCCAGGATGGATAGGCTATAACATGTATAAGTAAAATATATGAAGAAAATAGCACAAACAATGAAAGAGAAAAAAATGGCAATATACTAAGATTCTGCTATCATACAGTAAGGTAAAGTATTACCTGAAGGTAGGCTGTGAGAAGTTAATGATGTATATTAGAGTCACTACTAAAAATACAAAACAAACAGATTAACTAATAAGCCAATAAAGAAGATTATATAAAATACTAAAAAATAATCAAGCCCAAATAGAGCAAGATACAGGTGACTATGAGGGAACAAAAGAGAAAAATAGAAAACAAATAGCAAGTTCCAGAAACCCAATTATACAAAAAGTATTTTACATTAAATTGCCAAAACACTCCAAATAAAAGTTAGAGATGGTAAGAACAGAGGTCAATTCACTAAGAAAACACAACAATCCTGATGTGCACACACCTAATAACAGAGTTTCAAAATACATAAAGCAAAAACTGACAGCACTGAAAAGAGAATTACAGAAATTCACAACTGTACTTCAATACTTTCCCAATAACTGACAGAATAAGGAGTCAAAAAATCAGTAACAATATAGAACAATATAGAATTCTCCAGTAAATTCTCCCATACTTTTATGGAAGAAATAGTACCAATTCTACACAAAGTATTCCAAAAAATAGAAGAGAATGAAAAACTTCCCAACTCATTATACGACGTTATGAATACCCTGAAACCAGTATCAGATGAATACATTAAAAGAAAAGAAAAAAGCTAATGACCATTATCCCATTAAACAAAACAAAACAAACAAGCAAACAAAAACACTCTTAAAAATCAAATCCAGCTATGCATAAGATCAAAGCTTATGTAAGCAATGCATATTTTTGAAATATAAAAAATAAAACACGAGCAAATGAAAAACATCTACATTCTTGAATTGAGATAATATAATGCATTGCAAATAACATTAAAATGTTAATTATCCCAAGAATATATATAATTTAATGCAATCCCAATTAAAATCACAACAGGGTTTTTGAATTTTTTTATCCCAGGAGAGGTGTGATGATGGATAAAATATTCCTCACATATGAATGCTAGTTGCAAGTATTAGAATACCTAAGAAAATTTATAAAGAAATCCAGGTACTACTGGATATATGAAAACATTACATGACAAATGTGAAATTTATATTCTCTGGAAAAAGAAAAAGACTACCTCAAAATTGCTGCTGATACAATGGTATGTCTATGCTCTGAAATTAAAAAGTAGACTCCCTCTCTTATACCATATACAACAATAAATTCCAAATAGATTAAAGACAAAAATGGGGGGGAAAATTAAATCTAGTGAGGAGATTACATGCCTACTTTATCAATGGAGAAAACCTTAAAACAGGACACCAGAGAGAAAGAGAAGGAATTGCTTATATATTTTAAAGGTTGTATTCAAAAGATACTTCTTGAACAGGCAAGAGATAAAAGATCAGCTTATGAAAAAAATTACTTGCAATGGAGATGTCAGGCAGATGGTTAGTGGCTTTAATATAAAATGAATTCCCACAAAAGGACAATAACCAATTTTTTTAAATGGGCAAAGAATATGAAAGGACAATTCTTAGAATAATTCTAATTTTCCTACAAACATCACAAAAGATGTTCAAAGTCACTAACAATCAGAAAATACTAATTCCAGTAACAGTAAGATATTACCACACAATTATCAGACTGGGAAACATGAACTATTACTGATGGTGATTGGGGAGAGCGTATTTGCCTGCATTGCTGGTAATAATATGAATTACTATATCCTTGTCAAAGCAATGTGGCAACATTTATGAAAATTGATACATCTTGAATGGATGGTCCTATCCCTGGGAATCTATTCTTTAGGTCTCTCAGAAGATACCCATAAAGTTATTTATTACATCATTAGTTTAAAAGCGACAAAAACTGGAAACACAGTATTTCCCTCTAATAAATGAGTGAGTAGACTATGAAATAACCACTCCTTGGAATACAATATAACAAATTTTTAATTGATTAGAACAGTAGCAGCTGAGAAGGATTTCTCTTAGGCAGCACTGAACAAAAAAAGATAAAAGAGTTTCAAAAAAACTCCTTCCATTTTTGTAAGCAGTGACTAAAAACTGTGTATGTGTTCCTAACGCTTAAGAACATGGATAAAAATATAAAAGGACACATAATCGTGCTAAAAACATAAGTTATGGACTAATGGAATGCTAGTTTTGGCTAGAAGAAAAAGAACTAAGTAAAAGACAAAACAGGTCACTAAAAAAAAAAAAAAAAAAAGAATGAATTTAAAAGTTTCCATACAAGTATACCCACTTTTATCAGAATAATATATTTGTAAACAATGCCCATTAAAGCGAGCTTTTGCAAAACAATGCTTATTTTCTAACGATCTTCAGTTGTGTTTCTTTGAAAACTTAAAGAGTCACAGAAATAAAAAGATAAAAATAAATCACACGTCAATATCATAAATACCTATCTGTGTGTTGGTTGGAAACATAAAATGAAATGCGTTTAAAATGTATTATACACATTTAAGATTAAAAAAATGTGCAAAAAGTTTTTGAAAGAAAAAACTTACGAAACTACATACCTAAATAGGAAAAGTTTTTCTAGTAAGATTAAAAGTACTCCAAAGAGACTACGGCATAAATCTAAAAATATCCAGGGTACCTTCTAGGCACATTAAAGATCTAAAAGAAATAAACTAATCCAGAATCTATCAGCTTGGGCTTGCCTTTCGGCTTAGCTATCCTGCTTCTTTCTTGATCTGCCTACATTGTAGGACAAAGCCCATGTTTTATCTACGTATGTATTTACAGCACCTAGCACAAGCCTTGGCACATGGTAAATGCCCTAACTTTCTTCAAAGAGTATGGATGTCTCTAACTGCACACTCTCTATTCCAGGGTCAACGGGTTGATCTCTCTGGGCTGTTACATATGGATTCTTTCTACCTTTTTAAAGTGCATTTTGGAAGAAGGTAAAAATTCATCTGATATTCACTGGGCATTTCATATGAGCTAGACACTAGTGACACTTCTTTTATGTAATGTGGACTTGCAAAGTTTTTACTTATCGAGACTAAATGAAAGTCAGAAAGACAGTAGTAATTATGCAATGGGAAAAAACTATTTTACTGGTGTTGGCAATTAGGGTTCTAGTTCTGCCAATTTCTAGACTTTTACCTTCTCCTGATTTTAGTGTTCTCATCAGTTACATGGGTAACATGTGTTCAATCCACCATACAGAACTATCAAGATGAAACTAAATCCACTCTAAACCACCAGGCACAAAGCAATTTTTGTTGTTGTTGTTGTTAGCCCATACTTATCAAGTATTCTAAACTGTCTTAATTACTGTTATTTATAAACAAAACACAAGGTAACGGCCTCAGCCTAAAGCCTTGGTATAATTCCACCACACTCAATATAGTGCTAAAAAAAAATTCCATTAATGCTTTTAATCGACTCATTGAGTTCATTTCTTTCTTCAATGAAATATTTTGTGTTTGCTAAAGTTACTTGTATTCATATCTAAAGCAGAAGAGCTAATGCATATTCCAAAGTCTGTTAGCCTTGAAATATCCACCTACTTCAAGCTTCTAAATATCCCTTCAAGCAACACTTCTGATAAACTGCAACTATGATCTTCTGCAAAATTTATGTTTTCAAGTTTTTCCTTCCATTGTTCTCACGTTTTACAAAATTGTATTCCTCTTAATATTTAAATAATATTTTAATACAAACTAAATATTCCCATTATTTAAAAGATTTTTTTGTCAAAGTTAAAATTCCGATCATTTAAAAGTAAAATACTACACATTTTTTCAAAAATATGGAAGACCTTCATTAGACAGCATCACATAAAGTGCATTTAAAGTTGTATTCATCAGTCAACTTTCTTTGCTTTTGTAGCCCAAATAAACCATCTGTAAACTCATTATAACACCATATACCCTATTGGCCAAGCATATCCTAGAATCTATTTTTGGAAAAGAAAACTTCCTGGTGATACGGCAAATGATAAAAATTTGCCAAAACACCATAAAACCATCAGCTCTAAAAGATAACAGAAAAAAATAAGAGGGAAATCACCACAGCTGCCAAAATATGTTTTTAATTTGCATTCATCCATTAGCAGGTTTGCTTTTTCTATTAAAAAATATAAACTGGGCCGCGTATGTTGGCCCACACCTGTAACCCCAGCAGCAAGGCGGGTGGATCACTTGAGGTCAGGAGTTGGAGACCAGCCTGGCCACCATGGTGAAACCCGTCTCTACTAAAAGCACAAAAAATCAGCTGGTCATGGTGGCACACACCTGAGTCCCACCTACTCGGAAGGCTGAAGCAGGAGAATTGCTTGAACCCAAGAGGCAGAGGTTGCAGTGAGCTGAGATGGTGTCACTGCACTCCGGCCTGAGCAACAGAGCAAGACTCCGTTTCAAAAAAAAAAATATATATATATACACACACACACACACACACACAGTTTATATTTAAAAAACACACTGTTTATATAAAAAGATACACATACACACTGTTTATATAACGAATCTTTTCCATATATCTACTAAAACCCTGAAACCTCAATTTCCCAGATAGAAACAATTTTTCCCCAGGTGCTTTAAACAACTTACAGCACTTGGTCCATTTATCACAAATTACCTTACATTATAATGTGCCACATAATTCTTACCCCACCCTCCTTGATTTTCAGCTCACTAACGATACTGGATATTGTGCTACCCATTTTCATATAAGGGTCTATAGATGTAGTAGGAGCTAAATACGTGTAAGTCAAACGGATAACTGAGGCATGTTCTAATAAAAATAACGTTATTATTATTTGTATTATGTCCCTAACTTTGATAGCTTTATCCAATAGCAGAATGCATATTAGCCAGAATTTATTGGTCTACTATTACCACTGCTGCAGAACATCCTATAGCAGTTTACTTCTAAAATAATTTTTTGGATAAGGTATCATAATTTGTTTTACTACATATATCAGCAAACAATTGACTTCTTTATTGAAGTATATCTTGTAGTAAACGTATTCTAGTAAACACAGTATGTCAATATGATCTACAACAAATATAATAATACAGCCTCTAAACCATATTTATTTGTATAATCCTTCCACTTTTGCTTTATTCTACAGTAAGGCTAACTCTGGAATATTACGTTTAATGATAGAGGGAGGTAGGAGTAACACAAGGGGAAAGTCCAGGGGGCTTTCTAGCGTTCAGCTCTCTACAGCTAACTGGCTATTCACTATAATTTCATTACTTTACTTTGCTGAAAATCAATTTCCACATCTATGAAATAAAAATCATAATACAGTTCATAAGAGTCCAACAATAAAACAGAAAGCATAACATAGTGCATATAGCACATATGTGCTGTATTACATGTCATATAACATATACTATACATGACATATAAGTTGTACGATTCAAATATATATTAAATGATACAAATACATATGATACATAGGCTATGAGGATTACTATACCTATATTATACAAATATCATTGAATATTTATTTAATAAAGGATGGAATCTAATAATTGTATGAGATTTTGTACGTTTTCTCCTGAAAGCATACAAAACTCAAATATGCAGAAGTGAAGGGACCAGACATGTTTTAAAGGAGACTCATTCTCACAGACAAAAGGAAAATCACAAAATCTGCCATTATATACAATCTATTAGTCATTAAAAGTATTTGTATTTTTTGTGTTCTATTTCATTTTTTTCACAATTTTTTTCACAATTCATCAGCTTAACTCCATGCAGCACTTCCAATAAAGATTCATCACTTTCAGCACATCTAATGATTATTGTCTCAATTTTATATCAAGATAATAAACTTTCTCATAACTAGATGCTTTCATTTCCCCTTTTTCCACTTGTTTTGTTAAAATAAGGTAAAAAGCAATAAAATTTTCCAAATAATTTTTGAAATTTTTGCCAAAAGTGGCAAAGTCACAGTTCTGTAGCAGGTGGGGGTTACTTGGCAAGACAGCAACACAAACAGCCCAAAAAAGGCATTCATCAAATGATGTTCGTAAGTCAAAATCCAGTATATAAATGGCATTTCAGAGGTGACACGTATAGTATTCCATGTGCCAGTTATTTGAAAAGTCAATGATATAAAAGCCAAGGGCTACCAGTACCTGTTTACTAAAGAGTACATATTAAACACACTAACATATGAAAAACCAAGTTCTTAACTTCTGTATTATACTAGGTATACAATAAGGAGTATTTTATTTTGTACCTACTATTTACTCTGAATGGCTGTTTGTTGTTACTGTTGTTTTAGAGACAGGGTTTTCAAGGCTGGAGTGCATTGGCTCAATTGATCATAGCTCGTTGTAGCCCTGAACTCTGGGATCAAGGGATCCTCCTGCCTCAGCCTCCCAAGTAACTGGGAATACAGGCACACGCCACCAAACCCGGCCTGAATGGCAGCTTTTAAGAGAGCCATCAATACACTAGAGCAAATATTTATAAATGCAGCATGGTTTAATTCTACTATACTACAAGATTTCTTTTTGCAAGAAGACATAAAAAATTTTTTCAGGGAAATAAAGTGAATCGAGGAATGGTTGACAGCGTTGAATATATTTAGCTACTTAGGGTGGAAAAGACCATGATAGGGGCATTTAGAACAAGGCAAATCAACAAGCAATTAACACCAGAAGGAATACTATGAGTTGTGGGGCCCGAGAATACCAACCGGAACACAGTGTATTCTTAAAGCAGGGGATGATAAATAAGAGAGTCCCACAAAAAGTGATGCTGATGTTTGCAGTGATAATTGTAACATGAATTGGAGTCAGGCAAGATACCTGTAACATGGAAAGAGTCTAAATCAGTTATATTGAAGAGATAGTTTGAGTTTGTTTCTTTGCTCTTGCAAGGGTTTAAAAAAATTGTTTTTGTTTCTTTTTTAACTGGAGAAAATGCAGTTGCGGAGAAATCATGCGTGATTATAAATAGGTATTCAATAAATGTACAAATAACGTGTAAGATCCTCATTATCTACCTTTATTGTGCATTTTGTATAATGTTAGTTAAGAATAACATATAGCATGTTGCAACAATGTTTGAGTCTAACCAAGTGACTTTTAAGCCATAAATCAGACATAGCTTAATCAACACAATCTTGATTTAACTGGGGATTTGCAGTTCAATGTACTGCTTGAAATTATAGTATATCACAAATTTAATAATTCTATTTTTAAAATTAAGGGCATTCTTTTTAATGACCAGTTGATAGAAGCTTCAGGTGACTCATTAAAGAAGTAGCCTGCAGATTTTCAATCTCTAATCATTGTTCATCTTTATTTTCAATTTTCTGTAAATGATCATGTGAACTGTAATTTCATGTGTTTTTCTTTTGACAAGCTTGGATACTTCACCTGTATTATATAAATGTTAATAATCAGTAACTTTTATACCAGCTACGTTGAAACTTTTTAAGAGTGACTTTCTCAAGGTCACAGAGCAAATCTCTGGTGAGACAGGAATGGAATTCATGACCTTTGACTGCCAGAGTTTTCTACCCACACTCGGAAATTCCTTCCCCATAAGTGTAATTTATATGCTCACTTTGAGAAACAGGAAAGTTTATCCCTTTCAGGGGAGGGCAGTGTGGGGGCGGTGGAGGTATGGCTGGAGTGCTTTTCCTATCAAATCAGTTGCCACACAAGAACTTTGTAGTTTTACAAAGTGACTTTTGGCCACATTACCCCATTTAACCCTCACCACAGCCCTGTAAACTACATATTATTTTTTCCATTGTATAAACTCAGAGAGGTTAAGAAATTTGACCAAGGTCATCCATAGTTAGCAAGCAAGAGAGTAAGAATCGAACTGAGATATTTCTGCCACTGAAATTAGTTGTGATTCAAGGATGTATCATCTTAGAGGTTACCATTCATTGTGAAATGAAGGAAGGTTTTCTTTACATTGTTTTCGAATAATTTAACTTGGTTGCCATTTAGGTTTGTTTTCTTTAAGGCAGGGTTGTTTTTCTTTTGTTACAAGTTAGCTCGATAATTTCAAAGTGAGCACAGTATTACTAAAGATAGAATTTTTTTTAAAGACTGTTTTTCCCCCTTTTTTATACACACGTGTGGCTTTTTACTGTATTTCTCGGTCATGAAATTTTACTGTAATTCTTGCTCTTGTGTATGGTGTGTGTGGGTGGGTTATGTACTAATATAGATATAGACTACAAAAACACATGTAAAAACATATAAAGATAAATACTAAATATACACATACACATATAGATATATAAGATGATGAATATATATGTATATACAGTATGTAGTCATTCTTCAGTACCCTTGGAGGGTTGACTCCAGGATCCCATCCCACAGCAGATACCAAAATCCATGGATGCTCAAGTCCGTTATAAAAAATAATGCAGTATTTGCATATAACCTGTGCACATCCTCCTACATACTTTAAATCATCTCTAGATTACTTACAATCACTTATACAATGTAAATGCTATATAAAGTTATGATTTTATTTGTATCATTTTTATTGTTGTATTTTTTTCTTGAACGTTTTCAATCTACAATTGATTGACTCCCTTAATGCAGAACCCACGAATAAAGAGGGCCAACTGTATACATATACATCATGCCAGGAATTACTGTGAAAGGCCATATATACTGAGAAGCATGGCAAATGTCACACTTGGGACACAATTCATGGCTGTCAAAGCCAGCAGGTAGTTATCGTGGTAGCTTCTACAGTCACTGATAGTGGTGGGGAAACTATCCCAAAGGTCTCCTAATTTATTCCACTCTCACCTTCCATGCAGCAGTACAGCAGTAAGGGCTTCCTGCTACTTCTGCACCAGACAGCAAATGTGTTTGGAGCAGTCTAATTATTACACTAATAAATATTCAAAAATGTAGACCATGAGAGTAGCAACAAAAGAAACACATGACTTTAAGTTGAAAAAAAAAAAAAGACAGGAAGAAAGACCATACCAGAGCAGAATTCTTTGGGTGAATATCCTGTAATCTACTGCCGACCAAAACAAATTTTTATGGAGCAATAAGACTACTCAAGTAGCCACTTTATGACAATAAACACCCAAAACGGAAAAATCCTTTTGTAACATAATTACTGACAATATAGAGAGAAAGTAACCATTTAATCCACAGCATGTGTTCTCTACCACAAGAACTCAATAGCTGACATCAGATGGGGTGTGGCCGACCTAGGCCCTAAAAATGAATTCTGGCGGGTGGAAGTCAGGCAGCTCTCTGGGCTGGGCTTGGGATCCAGAAACTTAGCAGGTCTAACAGAGCCTAAGACTGTTGACCTTCTGGGCATAGGGCAAGGCCCATCTGTTTACTTGCTTGCTTTTGGGAGGAGTGGTTGTGGTAGATGAGTTAAGGCTGTGGTTATAGGGCGTTGCCAGTGATTTAATTTTAATATTTTTACCCTTACATTCTGTACACAGTTAAAAGTTCAAAGCTGTGCATAAATTGCAGGCCGAAAAACAAGTAAGTGTGAGTTTGAAAGGAAAAATAAACACTGGGCAAAAATATAAGCCATTTCCAGTCTATGATCATACAGTATTTTCAAATAGAAAATGACAGATAAGCAACTACAACCTATTTCAGACTTATTTTAAAAATTAAACTTGTAGCCAGCGCAGTCGCTGATGCCTATAATCCCAGCACTTTGGCAGGAGGTTTGCTTGAGGCCAGGAATTCAGGATCTAGCCTGGACAACACAGTTAAGACCCCGTGTCTACAAAAAAATTTTTAGCTGGGTGTGGCAGTGTGCACCTGTAGTCCTGCCTACTTGGGAGGCTAAGGTGGGAGGATCCCTTGAGCCCGGGAATTTGAGCTATGATGATGCCACTGCAGTCCCGCCTGGGTGACAGAGTGAGACCTCAACTCAAAAAAAAAAAAAAAGCTGTTTTCTAAGCAGAAAAGGTAATAATGGTGTTGATTTTGAATAAAACTGTCTTGGGATTTTAGCTCATGTT
This sequence comes from Homo sapiens, assembly GCF_000001405.40. NCBI lineage: Eukaryota > Metazoa > Chordata > Mammalia > Primates > Hominidae > Homo > Homo sapiens. The sequence goes on from NC_000013.11 coordinate 74,130,735, forward strand.
CATTAATCAGCATGCAAGTGGCAAGCAGAAAAACTTATAAACAAAAACTTTTCAAATGAGTTTGTGCCATTACTAGTTTTATAGTTTAATACACAATCTACAGCTAGATTTATGAACTTGACTGCTTCTCTCACAATATAAAGAAAACAAACCATTTGACACTCCAATTTAATGTGATCATTGTAATATTATTAATTTGCAAAAACATAAAGTCCCATGCTTTCCATGTTGTACAATGGAAAAAATGTCCAGGACCTCTATATGTTCATCTACTTAACAATATGCCTTCACTGGGTAAGGTTACCCCAAACTCTAGATTAACCAACACTGGCTTGAATTCAAAATGCTCTCAGCATAGGCCTAGAGGCCTAAGCACTTACGTTGTCTCTGCAGAGATAAAACACACCTATATTTAAGGCCAAATTATTTCAGTAAGTTGATAACAGCCTGTTTCATGATATACTGTAACATCTAAAACTCACTGGAGCCTGTTAAAGTGCATACTTTCCCTGAACAGGAGTCAGGGAAAATATCCCTGAGCAACATGTATATTTTCACATGACCAGAACACGATGGATATTACAGGCCAGATGCATGTTCTTCAGAATGAACGTCAAGCATCCCGATTTGTTCTCCCTTTGGCCTGGGGAGAGTGAGTACACTAGTGTTTGCAGACCTTCCCTTTCAGCACACACATAGGCTGCAGCTGTAGTAAACAACCACCAGCCAAGAGTTGCTAAGGTCAAGGTCTCAAATGCTATACCAGGACCATTTACTCCCAAATGATAGTCATTGCTGTAAAAAGAACTTCTGGGGAGTGGGAGGTGGAGAATATTAAGGACTCATTAGCACAACAATTTTTTTCAATAAACAGTAATAAAAAGCATTCCACAATAAAGTTCAGCTGACTGCATTGCTAAGTAGTAGATAAATAACTGAAGGTTTTCAAAAATAAACAGAAACCCTCAAGAATGTTTTGTTTAACCTGACATAGCCATGTTGGTTACATGGTCTTAGTTCAAAATTATGAAAATTTTATGTGAAAACATTTCAAATTTCAAATTTTCCCAGTACATTTCATAATAGTTATTAAATTGGCAGAATAATAAACTGCTTTCCTAATTTTTATATGCTCAAATTGCTCTTTCCCCAACTCAAAGGAGCTTAATATATTCAATCTAGTATCAAGACCCGTCTGCAACAATAAAGATATAACTTACCCAACTGAAACGTCTGTCCTTCAACATCCTATTTCCACTATGCTTCTACAGTTTGAAATTTTCTAACCTAAAAGTATACTCCTTTATCGGAACCAATTTCTATGTGGTCTTAAAAAATGCACACAACATGTGAATGAGGTCTGAGAATAGCACAAGCAAGCTTTTTTCCTTGAGGGAGGGGGGGTCCACTGTTTTAAATAAATGTCAGTTCTAAAAGCGTTTCTTAGAAGACGGTATACACCCACTCCTCAAAGTGACCACTCCTATTCCCATCACAAGCTGCTTCTTGCTAAAAGCCACCAAATTTATTTCAAAGCATTTACTTATCTAAACAACTCTATCGTCCAGTAAGAAAAGGGCATGGAGGCGTCTAGGTGGTTTTGCAGAATGACGTGTATTTGATTGGCAGATGTCTACCGAAGTCACTAGATGCACACGCACTAAATGTAAATAGAGTTGCTCGTCTCTCCGATGTTACAGGGAAACAGAGAATCTTAACGCTGGTGTAAAATAAAATATCAGAGTGCTCGCCGAGAATTCCATTAGCCAGTGGAATTATCTAAAACAATCCATACAGAACGACACTTTAGCCATCTATACAGTTAAATTAGAGTGCTGACAATACTAACTACGCAAACTGTTTATCCAGATTACACATTCCGTTGTATTAATACTCTTTAACTCAACACAGTCAGCTTTTATCAGCTGAAATAAGACTATTACTATTAAAGTATGCAAAACTCGAAGCGCAGGGTGAAGGGGGTTGGGAAGCTGCAGGGCATATAACAAAGGAATTGGTACTTTTTCCAAGCATTTGCCTCAAATGCACTGCGAAACAAAACTGTTGAGTGCACCCCACCCTTTTCCCCAAAGATAAAAGTTTTCAAAGTTCTTGCAGACAGCTCGCTACCCAACAAAAGCAGGACTGATTCTCCCCGTAGGGGAGCATCTAACGTGAACACCAACTAATGTCGCGGAGGTCAAGTCTGAACCCTCAGAGTGAGCTTCTGAGGCAAGAAGTGGCTCCCAGGCCGGCTCTGCGGGTTCCCGGCCCGGGTGGACGTACAAAGTTGCCCCTTGTCAACTCCGGCCAGGTCCCCCGTAATTGAAAATAACAGCCACCGGCCAGCCCCTGGCTACTTGCATGGACCAGGCACTGTAGCAAGTGACAGTTACACATCATTACGACCAGAGACAATAATGAATGTAGCACCAGGAGCACTATTCATGCCAGCAGTGTCATCTCCGCCTTAACCCCTTCCCCTCCACTCTCTCCAGCGCGCACACACAGCCCACACGGTCCCGGTGCGGAGCTATTCATCCACCCCGCTCGAGGCCGGGGGGCCAACTACTTCCACGAGCCCCCCCTCCCCCCCAAGTTCAGCCCTGGGGTTTTATTTCACATCCTTGGCAACTGTCAGGCAAACACTGCAACCAACAATTCCACTAGGGGTAGAAAAACACTTGCTTAATTCACGTTACTTGATAACTTCTTCTGGAAAAAAAAAATTAGGGGAGGTGGGGAAGAAACCTCCTTCTTTCTTCTCCACGAATCCGACCGACGCTACTTGCTTTGCAACAGCATCGCCCTTCCCCGGCCCCCTCCCGCTTCCCAGCACTTTCCCCCTTTAAGAACACAGACCAACCAAAATGATTTAACTTGAGCAGATGACAGAAGGAAAATAAAACACGTTAAGAGAATACGGTCTGATTTGGGATGGCAAAAAAAAAAAAAAAAGAGGAGGGGGTTGTTTATTTTGATAAGAAACGGAATCGGCACAGACCTGAACAGAAGCTGCAGAGCAGGAGAAATTGTTTTCTTTCCCTCACACAGAGTCCCCCTCTCTCTCTCCCTTTCTCTCTCTCACACGCGCGCGCGCACACACACACACACACTCGCACACACACGGCGTCACCCGCGCACACGCACACGCAGAGCCTCTCAGCGGCTCTCTGCAGTTCTCAGGAAATGAATGGGGGGCAACCCGGGGAACTGTTGTACTTGCAAATGACTTACCCGGATCACATGATGCGCTAAATGTAGGGTGGGCCGGTGGGTGGAGGCTGCCGAGTTGCGAGCCCCGGTCTAGTGTGGGGAGCCTCGCCAGGCCCGCATCGAATTACCCCGGGGCCCAGCCGAGGGGGTTGCAGGACGCCGCTTCTCCTCCCTCGCAGCCCGCAGCTCAGGAAACCGGAGAGGCGCTTGGGGTGGGGTGGGGTGGGGTGCTGTGAGGGGGGGGGCCGAAAACAAGAAACCCCCAAACAAAAGAGCTCCGGGTCCTCCTCCCCAGAAACAAAGCCCCGCCGCTGCCGGCGAGCCCCGGGGTGGGGCCGAGGGCGGGGGCGGCGGCGGGGAGGGGCTCGCTCAGCAGGCGCTAAGTCGCTTTATTGCCATAAAATGGGGCCCCCGAGCCGCTCCGCCCGAGGATTAGGAGGCGGGCTCTGAGTGTGATGGTTGAAATCCCCTGTGGGAAACTAACCCCTCCCCGCTCGCAGAGGTAGAAGGCAACACCCACTGCCCGGCCCTCGCCTCCCCGCCCGGACCGCCGGGCTGGGTCCGCGGCGCCTCCACCCCGCCCCACCCCGCCCCACCCCTGCCCCCGCCCTCCGGCCCCGGGCCTCGGCAGCGCTTCCCTTTCACCTGCACCACTTTGCTGCGGCACCCCAAATAACCCACACATGGCCCTGGGAGCTCGGGGAGTCGTCGGCCGAGGGGGCCCGCGGGGGCTTGCGGCGGGAGGGACCCCTGGAGAGCAACTCGCTGGGCAAGGACTCGCGCCGAGCCGCGAGAAAGTCTCCTCTTTTGTGTCAGAGCGCGCCAGACAGGCTTAGGAGAATTCGGGGACCCAAAAAGCGTGCAGCCCGCTTGGGCCCCCACCCCTCGCCGCACCCGCCCGGGTGGGGGCGCGCAGTGGAGGGAGGGGGCTGTCGCCCGGGTCGTCCCCGCGGCTCGCCCGCCAGCGAACTTGGAAAGGTGTGGGCGGAGCCGGCCGGGACTGTGGGGCAGCTCGCGGGGACCGCCCCTGGGCGCCGGGCATCGCCCGCGCCGGGCAACAATGGGGTCAGGCAGGGGCAGCCCCGCGGGCGGTGCCCCCCGCGCGCCGGTGGGGCGGGCGGAGGGCCGGGCGCGGCAGGCAGGGGAGTCATTGTTTGGGTTCCGGAGCGACGCACGTTGCGGGCGAAGCGGGGGCGCCCCTTTTCCCTGCGCTTCACCTTGGCGGGATGAATGGGGGCGAGGCGGAGATGCGCGCCTGGCCTCGCCACCCCAGCGAAGGGGCCCCTGCCTGCGCCAGTTCTGTGGGAAAGCACGCAAACTTGGAGGACTGGGGCAGAGGAAGCGGGATCTGCAGACCCCCGCGGGGCCCGGGGGCGGCGGGGAAGGGAGTCCAGCTCCACTGCCCCACGCCCAGAGCGGAGCCCCAAGAAGCGGACGGCCCGGAGCCGAGTCCTTGACGCTCTCCCCGGCAGCCCCTCCCTCCCCGCCTCCGCGCCCCGGGGAGCGGATCCGCGGGATTGTGGGGCGGGAGAGGGAGGAGGCGGCCGGGCGGCCCTGCAGTTCCCGCGGCGGCTCGGAGGGCGCGGGGTCAGCGCCGAGCCGGAGGGTCGGCGGGGGCGGGGAGCAGACGGGGCGGAAGCGGCCGGGCGGGCGGGGCGCGCGGCGGACGGAGGCGGGAGGCTGTGGGCCCGCCTCCTCACCATCCTAGGTGAGCGCGGCGCTCCGGGCACGACAGTATTCCCCTGCCCCGCGCCCCCGGCCCGGCCCGCCCCGCGTGGGAAATCGCCAGGGCTGTGGGAAGGCCGGGAAGGGGAAGTTTGTGTGCAGAGAGAAAGCTTTGCTGTACTGTGGCGTGGAGTGGGGTGGGAAGAGAAACAAGGGAGAGGCCGAGAAACAGGAAATGAGAACGAAGGCACGAATGTGAGCCAGGGCCAGCTGGGCTCCCCATCGGTGTGGCGGTTTCCAGCCACTTCAGGCGCGGTGTGCGTTCCTAATGACAACAAAGGCGGCGTCTGCCTGGTGCGTTCTCTGCCTCTTGCCACTCCTAGGTTCTGGGGAAAATGGGATGGGTGGTCCAACCTAGAGGAGGGGTCCCACAGCCTAAGATGCGTCTTAGGAAGGCAGCAGGATTCAGAGGAGGGGTCTGTCCTGGTCTTGAGGTTTCGAAGAGGAAGAAATGTCTGAAATTTGTGGAGCACTGCTCGAGTGAAGTAGCCTCAGCGGCGGGAGCGGGAAGGCGCGGGCGCAGCGAGGGCGTCGGGAACCCAGTGGGACTCGGGGGTGAGGGGTTGGTGGTTGCTGCGGTGCGGTCTCTGTTCCGGGGAATGCAGCCGCAACTCCCACTCCCTGATCCGATCCTGGGCCTAGGGTAAACAGCCCCTTACACTCCACTACACCCGGATGGAAACGACGTGAAAACACAAGTTTGAAAAGCAGCAGAATATCAACAACTGCGCAGGATTTCAACGAGAAACTTGCCTCTACTAGAATCACTGTGAAGTTTCCCTCTAGGTGGGGCAGGGAGTGAAGGAAGGGAGTTTCACTGTAAGGGTGGAAGGATGCTGTAAGAAATTATGTCATCGTGGCAGTTCTTGTACTAACAGCTCTTTCTCGAGTGAGCTGAGTGGCGGATAGACCATAAATATATTCTATAGCGAGTGCTTCTGCACGTGGAAAAGCAAACTGCACTGCCTTCCTATGGCATAAGCCACGGGCTTGTTAGGAGAGTGATGAAAGATAGAAAACAAACTACAAGAATCCATTCCAGAGGGATAAGGAAACTAGGGGTAGGTCAAGGTTAGTATCTAGAGTCTGGATACCCTGTGTGGTTAAAAAAAAAAAAAAGTACATCAAGCATTGGGGGGAAAAGATGCAGATTTTAAAAATTGTTGACAGATATGGAGTAGAAATCTTAAGGCAACTTCCTAGCTATGAAAAGGAAAAGGAGAAAAGAGAAAAACAGGTTTAGAAGAGAGAATCACTTCATTGTGTGGACTTGGGGTGCGTGTAAAAGAGCAAAAACATTTGAAATAATACAAAGCATGGATGATAACGGAGATCACTAGAGGAGTGTGTGTGTGTACACACGCATGCGTTTCCAAACTAGTTCATGTAATTCTATCTCCATATAGAATTTAGATTTAAAGAAAAGTAAGGTGTGGACGGAAGGGAAGAAGATAGGGAAAAGTACACTACCTTGGCAAAGGTGCGGATTTTTAATGTTTAGACCTTTTTCCTCTCTACCTCTGTGTTTGCAGAGATGTGAAAAGTCAGAAAATGTAAAGATGGCAAATTTATTTCATCCTTAATTCAAGAGGACCATGTAAAAGAATGTGTAGCGAGAAAGTACGGTCATAGAATTTGGGGGTTGAAAGTATCTGTCGAATCCAATACTATGTGGCTTCAATCCTGTTTAAAACCAAGATGATTTTGATAAAGAATGATAACCCATTTCCCTAACTATATATAAAAACTTCATTTACTTAGTCTTAGATAACCAAAAGAAGGATGAATTATGAACAAAGAAGATAAAGTTGGGTATTCTTAATTTCTTACACATAACGCATGCATTGAGTTTCTTTTACCTAACACATTGTCCAGAAAAGAAAACCACACCCAAACACCCTCAAAGCAGATAAAATATCTAATTCAAACAACAGGAAAATTTACAATTAGAAATAATGTTAATGTAAAAGTAAGTGTTACCTGCCCACAAACTTTTTGCCAGCTCTTCTTATACTCAACCAGTGGTGATACTGTCTTTGTAAAATTAGTGGTTAGAAAAATCTTTTTTTATTTTTTATTTTATTTATTTATTTATTTATTTTGAGACGAAGTTTCGCTCTTGTTGCCCAGGCTGGAGTGCAACGGCGCGATTTCGGCTCACTGCAACCTCCGCCTCCCGCGTTCAAGCGATTCTCCTGCCTCAGACTCACAAGTAGCTAGGATTACGGGCATGCGCCACCACGCCTGGCTAATTTTTGTATTTTTAGTAGAGATGGGGTTTCTCCATGTTGGTCAGGCTGGTCTTGAACTCCCGACCTCAGGTGACCGCCTGGGCCTCCCAAAGTGCCGGGATTACAGGCGGGAGCCACCGCGCCCGGCCAGAAAAATCTTTTACAGTATTAAGAGCATTACTTATACCTCACCCAGATTTATCTAAGGTAAAAACTCTGTTCAATATCTGTGTACATTTAGAGATTGTAAGGCTTTGGATTAGTGAAACCATAGATGATTTAGCACTAATACGATTTCAAGGAATAGGGTAGGAATGAAGTCCCTTTTAGAGGTAAAAGCTATGTTGAAAGATTAGAATTAACTAGAAAGGAAAATAAAGCTGATTTCCAGAACTCTGAACAAATTTTAAAATACAATCTTGATTTTTTTCCTAAGGCCGAAAGTGAACATGTACTGTTAGGTTTTCAAGCCTCTATTTTTCATATGTCATATCTTGGCAATAATGTGCAGCAAAGGGGAATTTTCCTGTTCAAGTATGAGAAAGTGAGAAAGACATGTAAAAGCCTTCCTATAACTGCAAACAGCTGGTGATATTATGTGATTACTTGGTAAACAACATGTTTTGATTTGGGGGATGAGCTGTCTGCAAATTAGGGGGAAAATGCCATTTCGTAACTTTGTTTTATTGCAATCAATACAGTTTTCGGTCCTTCTAGTTTAAATATCTTCATCACATCTTCAGATGTGTCTTCTTTTCCACCTTCCTCCAGTCACTTTCATGCAGGCCTTTTCCAGACTCACCTCCACTATCATGTCTGCTTCCCAGCTCTGAGCTCTGCATCTAGCCCCCTTTCCCTCACATGCACTAATTATAACATATCTGTCTTTACAAAGCCAAGTTGGCACAAATTAGTTACAACAAAATACTGTGACACATAAAGGCCCCACTTCCATATTCATACCTCATACTTTCCCCTCCAGCCTGGGCACACACCTTGCGATGATCTTCCTCTGTCTTCTCTGGAATCCTCTAAAAACGATTCCTGCATACCCCACATACATGTATACATATCCATCCTCTCACCAAAAAGTTATCTTTCCCTTCTTGGAGCTTCTTGTGGTATAATGGAAAGAGTGCTTCAGCTGCTGACTAGCTGGGCTTTCATCTTCTTTCTGATTCTCTATTTTTCCACCTACTTAAATAACATTTTCCCCACATTGAAAGATTAAGATTTATTAGATGCTTACCTGCGCCAATGGGAGATATACTGGCCCAAGTAAGCATCCAATAAATGTTGATTCCCTCATTTATTCTTCAGGTTCTCACACCTTTCTACTTCCATGAAGTATTGTTGGCTCACCTATTACATGTAACCCCTCTCAGAACAAGAGCTGTACTTTAATCACCTATTTAGCCTTTCTTTTACCCTCACACTGTTTTGCACATAGTAGGTGATTAATGAATGCTTCTTGAATCAATGAAACAACTATAATATATAAACATAGAATGATATACGTTAAAACACAATTTAGCAGAAAACTTGAGTTTCCATTTGGGTGCACATATTGAAAATAACAAAATTCTGCAATGTGTCGGTAAATACCTTTTGAACATTAATTCTGGCAGTGTTCCTCAAGCAACCTTCTTCTAAGTAGAAGTTTTTATATAAATATAATACATTTGGAGCATTCCATTTTCTCTTTCATATGGAATTGTTTAAAAATTATTCAATTATATTCCTCTTCATTTTTTATTAAAATTAGATAGCATTCTACTGTGTTAGATTAAAAACATTCAATTTTTTAATACCAGAAGGAAAATTCACAGCAAATTTGTTTTAAAAAAAATGACATTTGCAAATTTTGAGGTTATAAACATTAGAGCTGTAAAGTAATAAATAATCTGCATTTTAAAATATAATAAATTGAGGCATATGAGATCTGAACTATAGGTATCCTTGCTTTTTTAACTTTACAAATGAAAATAGTACTCTCCATGGAAATAATTTAATTCCACTAAAGTTTATCTAGTTTGCAAAATACCACTTTAATTTCATGCTATATACAATACATTAACCTAGGTATTATATTAAGATGAGCTTAGATAAAACTGATAAATAACTATATAGCACGTAACATTAGAATTTTCCCAAATTTTTGCAATTGTATTTACATAATAGTGAATATCTTAGCTTCTTCTTGTAAAAAAAATACAATTTTATTTTAGATAGTTTCCTCTAAGTTGTGTTACTGAAACAGAGAATATGAGTTTATTTTTACTGTTATAGAAACCTACTGTCAAATTATTTTTCAAAAGTATTTTATCAGTTTATGGCCAGCTGCAATGGCTCACACTTACAGGCTCAATACTTTGGGAAGCGGAAGTGACAGGATTGCTTGAGGCCATAAGTTCGAAACCAGCCTGAGAAATGTAGAGAGACTCTGTCTCTACCAAAAATAAAAAAAAATAAGCTGGAAGTGGTGGCATGTGCCTGTAATCCCAGATACTCAGGAGGCTGAGGTGGGAGGATTGCCTGGTGAGCTAAGATCAGCTTAGGCAATTAAGAACCTGTCTCTAAGGGAAAAAAAGCATTTTACCAGTTTACAATTACACTATCATATTTGAGAGTGCCATTTTCCCTGTGTTCTTGCTAGTATTGGGTGGTGCTTTGAAGTAAAACATCTTAAATTGGTAAACAAGAATGGCTTGAGTTTTAATTCCTTGGTGAATAAAGATTGAACTCTAGGAATATAAATGGGACATTGGTGGATGGGATGGGCTGAATACAACTCCTGTTGCATAGCCTCGCTAAGAAATCATGAGAAACTGATATCAAATTGCTGTGATAAGAAATGAAGGTTGGAGCAGGGTGCGGTGGCTCATGCCTGTAATCCCAGCACTTTGGGAGGCCAAGGCGGGCAGATCACGAGATCAGGAGATCGAGACCATCCTGGCTAACATGGTGAAACCCCATCTCTACTAAAAATACAAAACAAAATTAGCCAGGCGTGGTGGCAGGCGCCTGTAATCCCAGCTACTCGGGGGGTGGGGGGTGCTGAGGCAGGAGAATGGCATGAACCTGGGAGGAGGAGCTTGCAGTGAGCCGAGATGGTGCCACCGCACTCCAGCCTGGGTGACAGAGGGAGACTGTCTCAAACAAAAAAAAAAGAAACGAGGATTGGAAGAGGGAGTATAGCTCAGGGGTATAGAATTGGACTGCAGATCAAGAAATGAAGGTTGGAACAGCTATGAAAGACATTACAAATTCAGACTCTTAGAATTCAGCAACTTGCTATTTTGAGGAAGGGGTACAAAGAAAAGAGAATGGGAAACGATCTTATATTTCATTCCTTAATTCAGGAGGATTCATTTTTAGTTTTGATAGATTTGAGAGTCATCAAATAGGTAATTAGTTCTACCATAGTTGAAGCTAAAATGAATTAGATAGCTGATAGAGAAGAATAGGGAGAAAGAAATGAAACCTGGTCAGAAACATGGAAATAAAATAAAATGAAAATAAGAGGAAACAAGGGAGGGAGGGAGATTATGATACTGATTTCCATAGCTTTCATCTACAAACAATGGAAAAACCTAACTAATGCCAGTTAAAGATACATATTTTTGTCCATCCCTTGCAGTGAAACAAGAAATCGAAAAATAAGCAGCCACAGTTCAAGACTGTGCAGCTCCCTGGCACACCAAAGCCCCAATCTCATTTTATTTTCCTGCTCCCTTTCTTAAATACAGCTGCCCCTCCCTCTCCATAGTAGGAAGAAAAAAAAGGCTAAGAGCAAAACCAAGTCTGTTCCATTTAGAAAGCTTTCCAGAAGCATCAACTGTATCTCTGCTTATATTTCAATGGCTGGAAATGGGTCACATGAGTTCCTGGAGACCAAACACAGGAAAGCAGACAGGAAGAAGGGTCTCTTGGATGGAATTTGGAACAACCAACTGGCAGTTGCCTTTTTACTATGTAATGTTTCATAATGTTTTAGTCCTAATCAGTCCTAAATTGCAAACCACTCTATTAGTGAGGCTCTCTATTGAATTCTTGCTGGCAAACAGAAAAAAAAAGAAAAATATACCATTGGCTTACAAGTTATTGGCCATCATTTTAAGGACATTAACTCATAAACTACAAAATAGATTGATGTTTCTTAACTATATTTTCTGCACAATGTGGTCAATATGTTATTAAAGTACACAAACCATAATGTAGTCCATTTTAAATGAATCCATGTGTGATTTACCTAAGGCAAAATGTGAATCACAATTTAGCTTCACTGAGTTACACAGTCTGCTTATGGCTTATCCTTCCACTCCATGAATTTACGTGTCTTTGAGCAATGGACATTAATTTTTAAAAGTTGGATAAGCAAGTCACAATTAAAAAGGCAAATCTGTGTCTCCCAAAATATAAGCTGCGTTTGCATTTCATATTCAAATGAGAGTGAAGCAGCAGCACATGAGCTGATGCCTGAGAGCCAGAAAGACAAACTGATTGCTGGTTTTGCCACTTGATTCTGTGACCTTTGACAGGTTGCTTAATTTTTGTTGGGGTCAGTTTTCCTCCCAGTACAACTGGGTTGGCACCTTCTTTACAAGGATGTGAACAACTAATGAGGTCTTCCATACCCTCCCTTACAAGACTGTAAGCTCTACAAGGCTTGACAAGAATTGTGTCTGACCACTTCTCAGTTATCACCAGTCCTAACTTGGCACTCAGCACATAGCAAGTCCTCAAAGCTTTTCGGTGAAAGAATGAAAGTAACTTCCAAAAGGCCTAGGATATTCTGGGTACCCTATGATACCTGTAAATATAGTTGCCTACCAGAATAATAGAGTTATTTGTCAAGAAAAATAATCTAAAGGAATATATACAGTTTCTGTACTTTAGTTCAATAAAACGTATGTACTCAGTTAATTTAATTTGTAAAGATGAGTATTTAGCTAGATTTGGTATGCATCTCTCTTAACTGATGCAGCTTCCAAGTTAGAATACATATGAAGTTAAAATGAATCATCTCTGTGTCCTAATACAACTTTAAACTTAAAATCAATTCTTAATAAAGACCTTCCTTCCTTCCTTCTTTCCTTCCTTCCTTCCCTCCCTCCCTCCTTCCTTCCCTCCTTCCCTCCTTCTTTCCTTCCTTCCTTCCTCTCTTTCCTCCTTCTCCTCCTCTTCTTCTTGTTCTCCTCCTCCTCCTCTTGCTCCTCCTCCTCGTCCTATTCCGTCTTCTTCTCCTTCCTCTTCTTCTTCTTTCTTCTTTCTTCTCTCTTTCTCCCTCTTTCTTACTCTCTCTCTCTCTCCATTAAGACAGAGACAAATTGTGGATAATTTATCCATGAAGCATGAAGACTTTGGTTTCCTGGTTTTTACATTTTATCCAGTTCACAAATTAGTTTTTTGATCTTTTTATACAGAATTCAAATACAATTTCATTCTCAATTCCAAATAAAAATGGCCATAGCAAATAAAGAAATGTTACTGTAGAGCAAATGAAAACTTTTCTTAAAATCTCCTTAAATGACACTCCTATTTTTTAAACCAACAGCTATTAAGCATTTACTATGTGCCACACACCATTGGAAGCATTTTTCATATAATAATTAATTTAATCTTCGTGGAATCCTATGAAGCTATACTATTGCTTTCATATCCTCAAGGTGAGCCTTGCTAATTTATTGCAAGTTGCAAAACTCACAAGCACTCCTGGTTCTCCTTCCCTTTCATCTTTCTCTATGTAGTGCTTATCATCATCTAATACAGATGATGCCCAATTTACAATGTTCCAACCTACAATTTTTTTACTTTAAGAAGCTGTGAAAGGGATATGCATTCAGTAGAAGCCATACCTTGAGTGCCCATACAACCATTCTGTTTTTCACATTCAATAAACTACATGAGATATTCAACACTGTATTTTAAAACAGGCTTTGTGTTAGATGATTTTTGCCAACTGTAGGCTAATGTTAAGTGTTCTGAGCAAGTTTAAGGTAGGGTAGGTGCATGTTTTACATACAGTATTTTCAATTTACAGTTGGTTTACTGAGACCATAATCCCATTGTGAGTTGAGAAGTATCTGTATACTACATTGTTGTTGTTACATACAGTCTGTCTGTGTCTGCAGCCCACTTCCACTAAAGTAGGAGTTCCACAAGGCCAGATAATTTTTCCATCCTGTTGGCTGCTACAGCCCATTGTGTAGAAAACTGCCTAGCATGTAGTAGGCACTCAACAAATATTTGTAAATGAGTGTGAATTCCCATTGCATACAATGAGGAACGTGAGGCATCTGATGCTTTCAAATCACTTTGTCTTCAAAACTACAATTACAAGGATTTTGCACAGTGCATCAATAATTGTTATTATGGAAACCATTTTCATATTTCACTTGACAGACCCAACAGATTACTGTGGGTCTCAGGACTTCCACTAGTTATCAAAGATTATGACAAAAACAAGTTTCTTCAAAAATGAGAATGAAACTAAGACACAAAGCATGGCCATTAACTACCACTACTATATAACTGCGTATTTGTATTTAAACTGCTGAGTCATTTTAAAATTAAAGTGCAGTGCCACATTTTTGTATTTCTTTCACATCAATCACTATGTATTTGTAGTCTACACGGCATTTTTTAGTCTCAAGAACTAAGCACAGTAACAAGGGAAAATATATGTATGGCTGAACATTGTATTTTAACTCACTGAGATAAAAAAATTCGGTGGGATCATAATATTTTCATCCTCACATCATGCCTGGTACTTTTATGTCTAAGTATTAAGATGATAGGTGCTATAGAAAGGGCAAATAAATACAACGGAGAATGTCTGTTTAGTTATTTTAGAGCTGTTATATTGAAATATCGTCTTGTTTACAATTTTCAACTCAACAAATCCTCATCAATTATTAAATATTTTTCTCATTGAATTAAACAGGGCAACTGTATTTTCTCAAAAGAAAACATCAGGTGAAATGTAAGGCTTACTTTTAACATATACAAATTTTCCCATATGAATAAAATTCTATAGCTTTATTACACTACCCACCCCACCCCAAACTAAGCAGAAAGTGTACATCGTATTTATTACATAAAGAGAAACAGAATTTAAGTCCCATTCTTTATTCCTTTGAATCTAGAAGCAGTTTTTTTCACTATTGCAATGAAAAAAATAAAACAGTTCATGGAATTTAACTGCTGTCTAACAGGCAACATTTTCTTGGTACTGTCCTGCTGACCACATAAAGATTATAATGAAGGTAACTAGACAAAAGTCAGGGAGCAGATGTGACCGTCGTATCTTATGGAACAAAGTGCTATGCAGTCCATCACTATCAAACTTGTGATTATTTTTTCAATGGGATTATTATGTTAATATATGATGTATTCATTTATCAAAATTACTCATTAAAAAAGTTTGGTTGAGTAGGGTTTGTTGTCATGATACAATTTGCTATTAGCATGCCTCTTTGTTTCATTATGAGTTATCCTCATTGTTTATATGGCTTCTTGCCTGCTAGAACTGTTATCCACATGCATGAGTTCACTGGGCAGCCGCTGAGATAAGAAACATATGGCTGTGTCTGCTGTGAAAATCTAGACACACACCATGCGTAACTCTATCTCTTTTTGTGCATGTGTATTGACTTGTGTCTGTTCATGCACATCTACTTTTGGGATCCCTATCTCTTACAATCATGTGCTAATAAAAATATTTATATAATTTAACCCCAGCAGTACTTACAAATATCACTTTTATTTAGTAACATGTAATCAAGCAGCAAATAAATATTTTGCCTTTTTATCTAGAAACATCAAAGTTAGAAAGGAGACATGTAATTCTCTGTAGGTTTGGCAATAAAACCTAGGCTTCAGATTTTTAGCTCCTATCTCTGAGCCTGGTCTTGGATCATGTTCCAAGGTTAATAGCAGACATCCTCAAATACATTTTAAACCTATATGCAAAATGTAGTGTATTTCTTATTCTTAGTATCACAGAGTCTAAGAATTATCTTCTTACAACAAGCAAGGAAATTTAATTCTTTGAAATTTCAAATCTAAAAGAAGGTTTTATTTTTAACTTGAACATGTTTTTAAAAAACAATTGCTATAATTACCTTGGAATTTTGTCAAAGCAGAACTCTTTGAAAATTGGTAGGTCCAGATCTTAATGTGAGCATACAGAAAGTACTTAAAAGGCATTAATAGCCAGCAAAGCACATCTAAGTTAAAAGGCAAAAGGTTTAAATGGTCAGAGACCTTTAAATAAAAAAGAACATTAAGCAAACATCTTAGCCATAGAGTTATAAATATGTCAGGAATACAGACTTTCCTGCCGCTCTATGAGCAGAATGATTGTTCCATGTTGTTGACCTTCACTAAGTCAGTTAACCCTTCAATAACCTTTATTTTTCCATCAGGAGCAATACCTGCTTGTAAAGAACATGCTGGACCACAGATCTAAAACAATATGATTTTATTACTATTATTATCCCCAACAGAAAAGCTGTTTCTTTCTGCAGTAAGACAGTACAAAGCTTGAAAAAACTCTACGTAGACTGTTGCCGAAACACTGGGGAGAAAAACAGATTAGGGATATTGGTTTTTAAAAGGATAAGGAGCAATGGTTTAGAACCAAATCTATCTGTCTAATATGTTTTCTTTTAAAAAACAGTCTTAATTTAGTTTCCTTTGCTACACTATTAGTAAAAAACTAATGCTGCTTTACAATTTCATAGAGTTTTTAATTTAGAAAACTATTTTCTATCAGTTGTTGCATTTTCTTGTTACAATATATGTATAAAAATTAATGTGCTAAGTGTTTGATGTGTATTTTCTCATTTAACCCTCATGATAGCCAATGGGGTAGGTGAAATCGTTTCCATTTTAGAAAAGAGAAAACTAAGTCCAATGGAAGTTAACTTGTTTCCAAGATAACACAGCTGGTAAGAGATGGAGCTGAGATTTGCACCTACGTTGACTGACTTCACACAAGTCCTCTTAATCACTGTGTATCCTATACCCGATACTGGTGGAGATAACTTATTAGTGAACCTTTAGACACTTAAGTGTTGAAGACTTGCCAAGATTGTGTAGCCCGTGCATGTCAGGTTTGGATTCATGGATCCCAGCACATTGTTCTTCTCATTAGACTGAATTGCCATTGAAGGCTTTTTATACCCTCACTGTGGTTCATGGCTAAGGAGCTTCAGGAAAAGATGAGTGAGCTTTTCCCCAGTTCTTTATCTAGAGACTCTGAAGTTTTGCATTTTTCACATAGTTCAGACATTGTTCCTTGTGGATGGACTAGTACTGACTGCAAGAGCCTCCCTTGGGGAACAAGTGCACCCCTTCCTGGTTGGAGAAGTCATTTTCCAAATTGGAGTTTGGGGAACACTGTTCTGTAGAATGCTAATAGGTGCTCCTACACAAAGAGTTCTGTGCTCTCAAATATTTGGAAAAATTTTGGTTACACGATGTTAAACATCTTTCTTCAACCCTCCAAAGAGGGTGCTGCAGTGGCTGTTAATTTGTTAATTGGCATTGTGAATCTGGGAGACTGGGCCACATAGTGTACAGTGGTTTCCCAAAATATGTAGTCACTGAGTTTTTTCAAACTCACTTTCTAACACTCTGGGAATATTTTCCAAGGAACATGAGTTTCGAAATGCTCCTTTGGGACTTACGTACCGCCCAGAACTCCTGCAACATTCCCTAGTCAATTGACTGTTTTATACCTCCAGTCTGACCTCAAGCTTCCAATGCCTTGTCTCCTATGCTTGCTTCTTTTTTCCCTAAGAAAACAGAAGCCCCTAGGAGTGATTTTGCACACATACTTTCACAGCTCAGCTACCCATCTTCTGATAGCTCTGCCTTTCCTCCTCCTACCATGGGTAAACCATCACTGGTCCTATCTAAAGCCAACTCCTCCATTTTGAGCTTCTTTATCTTCTCACCCATTTATGTATATTGCTCCAATAATTGTTTTCTCACTTCTTTTTTTTCTTTTTTTTTGAGACAGAGTCTCACTCTGTCGCCCAGGCTGGAGTGCTGTGGGATGATCTTGGCTCACTGCAACCTCGGCCTCTCAGGTTCAAACGATTCTCATGTCTCAACCTCCCAAGTAGCTGGGATTACAGGCATGTACCACCACACCCAGCTAATTTATTTTTTGTATTTTTAGTAGGGACGGGGTTTCACTGTGTTGGCCAGGCTGGTCTCGAACTCCTAACCTGATGATCCACCCGCCTCGGCCTCCCAAGGTGCTGAGATTACAGGTGTGAGCCACCACCCCCGGCCTGTTCTCTCACTTTTGCATCACTAGTTTTTCCTTCTCCACTGAATTCCTCCCTTCAGCATACAACATGCTATAATTTATCCAGTCTTAGAAAATAAATTTAAAAACCATTCTCCTGACCTCACAGTTTCCTCCAGCTCCCATCCCATTTCTCTGTTCTTTGTCACAATGAAAGTCTGCCAAAACTGCTCTTTTTTTTTTTTTTTTTTTTTTTCTGTACTCAATTTCTCTCCTCCCATCTTCTCTGGAAACAAATTCAGTAAGACTTTCACTCCCCCCCCACCCCACCCCGCACTCTGCTTACTAAATCTGCATTGGCTAAGGTCAACAACAATTAACTCTAGTGTTTAAACTAGTGGTAAACACTAAACTTCATCATCTTGACCTATAAGCAGCACCTGGCACTGATTGATAGCTCAAGAAGGTGGAGTTTAACACAACCCTGATAGTTAAAGAGATAGTTTAGCACCTTGTCCTCCTTGAAACATTTTCCTTCTCTTGCCTTCCAGAGAACCCACATTCTCCAGTTTTTTTGTTTTGTTTTGTTTTGTTTTGATGCTCTGATCTTGTCAGTGTTGGAGTGTTCATGTTTATTCTTGGATCTCTTTTGTTTTTGTTTTGAAATGGAGTCTCACTCTGTCACCCAGGCTGGAGTGCAGGGGCATGACCTCGGCTCACTGCAGCCTCCGCCTCCCGGGTTCAGGCAATTCTCCTGCCTCAGCCTCTCTAGTAGCTGGAATTACAGGCACCTGCCACCAGGCCCAGCTAATTTTTGTATTTTTAGTAGAGACGGGATTTCAGTATGTTGGCCAGGCTTGTCTTGAACCCCTGACCTCAGCTGGTCTGCCAGTCTCGGCCTCCCAAAGTAGTGGGATTACGGGCACAAGCCACCTTGCCTGGCTTGTTGTTGGATGTCTTAACAATCTCAGCCCACTCCCTTAGTGATCTCAATCAGTCTTGATAGACTTAGAGGTCATCTATATGCTGACAACTCTCAAATGTGCATCTTAAAGTTGCACTTAACTGTAGATTTATATATTCTACTGCCTATTCTATAGCTATACTCATGTGTATAATGGGCACCTA
The DNA here is from genome assembly GCF_000001405.40 of Homo sapiens. Lineage (NCBI taxonomy): Eukaryota > Metazoa > Chordata > Mammalia > Primates > Hominidae > Homo > Homo sapiens. The sequence continues at coordinate 74,149,299 of NC_000013.11, forward strand.
AAATTACCTTTTCTAAAACTGAACTCCAGATTTTACCTGACTCTATTCTGACCCTAAATCTATTCCTTGTAATCTTCTTCATCTCAATAAATAAAAATTCCTTCTTTTCATCCACTGTTAGCTTAAAAAGCTTAGTATTATCTTTGATTCATTCTCTCATAGCTCACGTATGTCAGCAAGCCCTATTGACTTCTTACCTTCAAATTATATCCAGAATCTGATATTCCATGACCACTTCCATTGTTACTACCCTTCACCTTTCACCTAGATTATTGCGGACACCTCACAAATGGACTCCGTGCTTCCATCTTTCCTCCTTATGGACTCTTCTCAGGGTACTATCCAGAGGGACCTCTTACAACATAGGTTAGATCTTACAACCTCTCTGCTCAACACCCTCACAATGTCCCCTCTCACTTGTAATGGGCAAAGTCCTTGTAAGACTTCTAAGGTAGTCATGGCATGGCTACCTGTGACCTCTCCAATCCCATCTCCCAGGTTTCTCTCTCATTATTTTTCACCCCCTCTGGCCTCCTTGTTGTTCTGAACACACCAGATCATCCCGTCCAGCTGTGCACTTGCTATTCCATCTGCCTCGGGGACTCTGCCCCTAGATATGTGCTGGTTGCATTTCCTCACCTTCTGGTTTCTGCTCACCCAGTCAGTGAGGGCTTCCCAGACAACCTTTTCAAAAATAGCAATCTCTTTCTTACCTCATCCATGTCCCTTCTCTACTTTCTCTCTGTACATTAACATGAGCAATAAACATAGTTTGCTTGCTTTTTATTTTCTCTCTCCCTCTGCTGGATTGTAATTTCAGTAAGGACTGATTTTTTTTTCTATTTCACTGATGTATTCACGTTGCCTAGTATAATATAGAAATACAGTTGATGCTCAATATATATCTACTGAATTATTGCTGAATGAATTAGTGAATATCTCTCTAATACATGTTGAAGCAATTCTTCCCACCCAACTGTCATTATTTACTCATCAATGGAGCATTAGTACAGTAGTCTCCCTTATCTGAGGGGAAAATGTTCCAAGACCCCCAGTGGGTCCCTAAATTGTGGACAGTGGCGAACCTAACTGCCATCAACTGGAACACATTTCGTTCATGCCTTTCATTCACAAATGTGATGTCTTTTCCATCTCAACTATTCATGACCTGTGGCTGTAATTTTGCAGTTTGAGGTTCAACAGGAAAACTAGCATGAATTTATTTTCCTTCTTCACAATTTCATGGATAGAAGCTTCATTCTTACTATAGATCTTAGCAACATCAACAAACTATTTTTCTTTCCTTTTTATTGATAACTTTTACCTTTCACTTAAAGGAAACACTTGATGGCATATCTGAATTCCCAGCGTCAGTATTCCTGTGCTTTGGGGCCATTAGTAAGTAAAATAAGGGTGACTTGAACACAAGTACTGTGACAGCATGACCATCAACCTGATCACCAAGATGGCTACTTTTAAGGGACACAAGGGGGGCAGAGGAGCACAAACAGTGTGGATACACTAGATAAAGGAAAGACTCATGTCCTGGGGTGGACAGGCCAGAAGGTGCAAGATTTTATCACAGTACCCAGAACTAACTTTGGGTTTATTTCTGGAATTTTCCATTTAAATATTTTCAGACTGCAGTTGAGCTTGGGTATCTGAAACTACTGTATTTTCAATGACTTTGATTCCATGAATTAAAAAGATAAAACTCTTATTAGTAACTACTTATAATGTAATAAAATAGTGGTGCTCTGTCCCTGATTATTAATTTTAGGACTTAACATAGGCAATAAGTTTTTTAGCGGTTGGTTGAATGACTGTTAACTTATTTAGGTAATTGCAAGTGTGGATAGAGAATTTGCCTTAGAGCACTAAACGAGGACTGAAGAGTAATAGTTTTGAATGCTAGGTCTTGAGATAGGATGAAGAAATGTCATTTGGGGAATATTTTTGTATTACATTTTTATTTAAAACTATAATTACAACTAGATTAAAACAAAATATGATTAAGCATTTTGTCAGTGGATAAAAGCTGTACAAGCCTCAAATTAAGAAGAATCTCCAGGCCGGGCACGGTAGCTCACACCTGTGATCCGAGCACTTAGGGAGCCCGAGGTGGGCGGATTGCTTGACCCCAGGAGTTTGAGACCAGCCTGGGCAACAATGCGAAAACCTGTGTCTACAAAAAAAACACAAAAATTAGCTGGGTGTGGTGGTGCACACCTGTAGTTCCAGTAACTCTGGAGGCTGAGGCAGGAGAATTGCTTGAGCCTGGGAGGCAGAGGTTGCAGTGAGCTGAGATCGCACCACTGCACTCCAGCCTGGGTGATGGAGTGAGACCCCATCTCAATAAATAAATAAATAAATAAATAAGAAGATTCTCCAAACCCAGGAAGAAGTCAAAAGAAATTAAGATATTCTGGCTAGGAAATGATTGAAGCTTATAAATATACAAATCAGGGAACAGACTTGACAGAAGTAACCTATCTGCAATGTGATTTGAAGACATTACGGTAATGACATTAAGAATAAAGATCACTCTTTAAGTGCTGGTGAAAGTAACCAACCAAAAATAATAGGAATAAGAAATAATCTAATTATTTGGCAACATGTTAAAAAATGCACGTTGAAAAGAAGAGAGACGAGGTGAACAAATGCAAACTAAAGAGTAGCAGCACTCCTGGAGAATAAAAAGGGCAACTAACACTGTGAGGATGGTTCATTTCTGGCAGTATTTTCCAAGCACGAGGGTGGCCTGACTTTGGAATATAAATAGATGCTCTGGATGGTACAGTCCTTTAATGAAGAAAAACAGTCCACTGGGCTCCTACAGTGATGAAAATAGCCTGAGAGACCACCCAACACATTTGCTCTGATTCCAGATTTACTAAGCCATTTTTAAAAATTTGATTTCTCAATACAGGCTGGTTGGCAGCAATATTATACTAAGTTTCTCATTATTAATTATTTGTCATTCTGGTACACATAATTCTTATATAACTTAGGGTCCACATGAACTTATTTTCCTTTCCAGGCAAAGTATGAACTCAGTAAGTTTTTCTAGAGTACTCCCCTCTCAAACATTAGCTTTTACCCTTTTACCTTCAGGTTCGTACCCCACCATATTTGCATAATTGTATTACTTCCCTAAGAACCAATTTTTTGTTGTTGTTGTTTGCTAGTACTTTTGTGCCACCTGACAAACTTACAAGCTATTTTTAAATGCTTGCTTTTAAATAGAGGGCTCTTAGGCTGGGCAACACAAGGTTTCTACATAAACAATAATTTAAAAAATCAGCTGTGTGCTGTGGCTTACACCTGTAATTGCAGCATTTTAGGAGGCTGAGGTGGGAGGATCACTTGAGCCCAGGAGTTCAAGACAAGCCTGGGCAACATGGTGAAACCCTGTCTCTAAAAAAATACAAAAACTAGCTGAGGATAGTGGTGTGCACGTCAGTAGTCCCAGCTACTTAGGAGGCTGAGGTGGGAGGATTGCTTGAGCCCGGGGAGTCGAGGCTGCAGTAAGCCATGACTGCACCACTGCATTCCAGCCTGGGTGACAGAGTGAGACCCCATTACAGATAATAATAATAATAATAATAATAATAATAATAATAATAATAATAAAAACAGAGGGCTCTTGAAACCTTAAAGTTGATAAAAACCAAAGCATAAATGTCAGATAAATGTAGAAAGGTATAATAATTTCATACTAATTAAGAGCTATTGTTTATTAAATGTTTGCTATGTGCCTGTTACTGTTAACATATATGTTGGGTTTAATTTTCACATAGTTAGAAAATTTGGGTGTTAAAGACAAAATGCTTTTTTTCTCCTCCATTGTAATTCAAATGATATAAATGTAAGAGCTCCCAGTCTTCTTGACAGTGGCAGTTTTTGTATTCCCCATTCAAGTTTACTCAGGAATTTCTTGAATTCAATGAAGTCAATTTAAGGTTTCAAATCCGTCAGCTCATGATTCTTTCTCAATTTTTTCTTTGAAATCACGAGTTGAACTAGGACCTGGGTGAGAAAAGATGTCAAGGAGGGACTGGCGAAAATATTGTCCTGGCCTAGGGATGAGTCATCTGGTCCAGAGGTTACCGTCTGTGCTTGTTCAGTCCATCAAGTTATAGCTGGTCCAGCCTGGACTTGAACATGTGCTATATCTATGCTAAGTTCATACCCTTTCTATATCCTCCAGCTGTCATGCTTTTTTCATCTTCCTTGTTCCAAATATGGGGTTTCTTTTGGTCCAGCTGTTGCCTCATTGCAAACCCTCATTGGCTTTTACCACACTACACTCATATTAAGAATCTCAAAGATCCAAGAACCAGAGACCTTACTCAGCCACTGTTAGTTAACAGCATTTGGTTTGTTAGAGTCAAAGCTTCTCTAGAACACTTGCAGTGTGGTAGGATTTACCCGTGAAAGTCAAGCTATTGATTGCCCTTCTGGTCTAGGATCTGCTGAATCTATTGCCCACTGTCCTGGGTTTCTAGGCATGATCCCTGTGAATTTATCTTCCTACCTGCCCGCCTGAATTTTTAACCCTTTACTTTCAAGTTTAAGTGAAATGGTGATGTTTTTGTTCTAGATTGGATATGAACCCCCCACCGAAGCAATAAATACTATTTATTCGGACGGGTGTGGTGGCTTATGCCTGTAATCCCAGCACTTTTGGAGGCCAAGGCAGGCAGATCACGAGGTCAGGAGATCAAGACCATCCTGGACAACACGGTGAAACCCCGTCTCTAGTAAAATACCAAAAAAAAAAAAAATTAGCTGGGCATGGTGGCACGCACCTGTAGTCCCAGCTACCAGGGAGGCTGAGGCAGGGGAATTGCTTGAACCTGGGAGGCAGAGGTTGCAGTGAGCCGAGATCACACCACTGTACTCCAGCCTGGCAACAGAGCAAGACTCCATCTCAAAAAAAAAATACTATTTATTCAATAAGTAGGGCCTTGAAAAAGGTAAAAACTTATAAACATAAATTGTATTGGTTGAATTTTCAAAAATATTATCCTCCTTTTATCCCATTATAAGTATTTACATCCCTAGACAAAAAAATTATTTTTACAAAATTATAGTAGCTACATCTTTGTTCGATTTTTGTTTATATACAATTTGCCTCCCAGAATCTCTGAGATTGTGGAGTTACACATACACCATGGGTTAAGTTGTTACATGTTCCAATATTAGATCACCAGGGTTTTCCCAGGAATTTCTCTTTCCTCCTTTTCCTCTGCCAGGGAGTTTAGCCTGTCCTAGAGAAGAGGCTTCCCTGAAGTCAGGAAAGCAAAGGGTGGGCAAGTGTCTTTGCTTAGGGTTGTGGAAAATGATGTACAGGACCCCAATCCAAATCCCCTGGATTACCCACTAGCTGCGAGATAATAGTGACGGTCCCATCACTGGGCCATGACAGAGTCTGGGTCAAGAGATGATGGGTACCGGCCAGTCTTTGGCTCTTCCGTCATCATGGGATCTCTGCTCTCCAGGGTCCCAAGGTTCCCCTAGCCTATTTAGCTTCTATATCACTATGGGTTCTCCGTATAGCTTGAACAGGACATCTTGTTTCTTCTTCCAAAGTCAAACTCTTCAAATATATTGCCAGCCACCAAATTTATCACCTAAGCTGGTATCCCCTAGAATTAGCTTTCCCTTTATGAGAAGGGGATTTATTTCTTTGAATATTTCACAGTCAGAGCTAATGGTCTTAAATATACTATTCTTTATCTCCTTCTTTCCCCGCTGACTATCAATATTTGCTCAGTGTACTTCATATCACAGTTGACTTTCTGCGTACAGTTCTCTCACAGGATCCTGGTTCTGACTTGCTCCAAGTCTTGTCTAAGGTTTGAATTAGTTCATGGTGCAAGTATTCTTTGCATGAATGTTCCTTAGAATTTCAAGCATGCCCCCACATGCAGCGGGTTTAAAATTTTACAGTCACTAACCTAGGTGTTAAAAATTTTAACACTGTTTATTTCTCTACAAGTTAAATTAAGTCAGTTATATATAGCTCCTATTTTTCTTTCTTTTCTTTCCTTTTGTTTTTGTTTTTGTTTTTTTTCTAGACAGGGTTTTGTTCTTGTTGCCCAGGCCACTGTGCAATTGCATGTCCTTAGCTTGCTGCATCCTCCACCTCCCGGGTTCAAGCAATTCTCCTGCCTCAGCATCCCAAGTAGCTAGGATTACAAGCACCCGCCACCATGCCTGGCTAGATTTTTGTATTTTTAGTAGAGATGGGGTTTCACCATGTTGGCCAGGCTGGTCTGCAACTCCTGACCTAAGGTGATCCACCCATCTCGGTCTCCCAAAGTGCTGGGATTACAGGCGGGAACCACCACGCCCAGCCTGTAGCTCCTATTTTTAAGATGGCAGAAAAACAATCTGAGCAACTGAAGATAACTTAGTTCCTTATAGCTTATACACGGCCAATTCCAATTAAATCTTCCGCTGGTGATATATTCCCTTCCTTTCCTTTCTTTTCTTCGGGATAATCTGTGTTGAGAGGAGTGCTGTTGTTTTTGTGTCATCCTGGTATTGGGAGGGGTTTCAGCCCAAGTGATTTCTTCTGACCTTGCCAGCCTCCAGTGAGGTACAGCTCACCTGATGGATCCCTGTTGCAGTGTCCTAGAATCTGCTACTGATACCAGTGTTTCCGCATGGCCTGTCATCTCAGCATGTACATAGTCTTGGTCCACTGTTGGTTGTGCCACTTCTATGTTCATGGAAACCTTTTCATACACAACTTTCTCAGCACTTCTTGTCCATCCTTCAGATGCTGTGTTGGAGACTTCCTCCACAATGCACCTTCCAAAGTTACATCTTGGGAAGCTAAGCCACAGTCCTTTCTGCTTTGAAAATCTCCCCTGAATATAGGATTTATACTGCGATCTCTCTTCATAATTTTTATTCCAAATTGGTACAGAGTTCTGGGCACTTTTCAGAGGCCTCTGTATGGTCTAGTTATGTTTCTTTCTAACCAATTCATTCCAGCCATTGGATTCCTCTCTTATCTCCTTTGGGATGAAGGAACCTGCTCTGTGATCATCATGTATGTTTTTCTATACTACAGTTTATGGTATAAAATGTAGGCTCTGAGTCAACCAATAAGCACATGATGGAGAATGAGGTATCCATCCCCTCAAGCATTTATCCTTTGAGTTACAAACAATCCAATTACATTATTTATTTTAAAATACACACATTATTGACTACAGCCACCTTATTGTGCTATCAAATAGTAGATCTTATTCATTCTTTCTATTTCTTTTTTGAGACCCATTAGCCATCCCCACGCCCACCCCCAAACCCCCCACTTTCCTTCCCAATGTCTGGTAACAATCCTTCTACTCTCTATGTTCACCAATTCAATTGATTTTTAGATCCCACAAATAAGTGAGAACATGTGATATTTGTCTTTCTGTACCTGGCTTATTTCACTTAACATAATGATCTCCAGTTCCACCCATGTTGTTGCAAATGACTGTATCTCACTCTTTTTTCAATATGACTGAATAGTATTCCATCATGTATATGTACCACGTTTTCTTTATCTGTTCATCAGTTGATGGACAGGTTGCTTTCAAGTCTTAGCTATTGTAAACAGTGCTGCAACGAACATAGGAGTGCAGGTATCTCTTCACTTTGGAAATTTGACAGAGACACTTTGGTTAACATTTTATTCTGTATGTGTGTGTGAGGGTATGACAGTATAAACTTAACATAAATGAGATCATATATGTTGTTTTACCGCTTTCCTTTTGCATTTAACAATGAATCACAGGGGACTTTCTATATCAACGAATAAAGATATAAACATTTAGTGGCTGCCTAATTTTCTATTATATAGAGGTACAGTAATTTACCCATCAAGAGATATTTGCTTTATTTAGCAAAGTTTACAAATATATAAATTGCTGTAATAAATACTCTTGTACATGTATTTTTATTTTTTCCAAGTATCTCTTTATGACAGATTTCTAAAATGAAACTTACAGGGCTTAAATGGTCAAACACTGGTTTACCTGATCCTATAGCCAAAGGTCCCATAGCAGGGCTACAGTTACCTGTGAAATCAATTTATGTAACTGATCAAGAGCTGATTACATAGGAAAATCATTGCTGTATTTTAAAAAGCATGTTACCCTAGACTTAACGGTTTAACTTTGGTAGGGTAAGGGAGGGAGGTTGGCTATGCTCACCCACCCTAAGAGCAGCAGCTCTTAACATAGTAGACACAAATACTAGAGTGAAAGAAGGGGAGCTCAAAGTGATCACTGGAGGTGGTCACCTTACAGCCATATTTTTCCTGATCCCTTAGGCTTCCTGGGGATCCATTACAAAATCCTGGGATGTACCCCAGACCAGTCATTAAGCTTCCTTCTGTCCTCAAATGCTGAAGAGAGAATGTTAACAGCCTAAGATTGGCCAATTTTTTGGGTCAGAGAAAACAGTTAAGCACAAGGAATTTACTGTTGGGCTTTTGCTTTTCTTGGGTATTGATTAATTGGGACCAGATACCTGCTGAGTCCTTAGACATCCTGCTGCTCCCATGGCATTCATCAGGTGCCCTCACAACCAGCCCTCTTCTCTGCAACTCCCATTTACCTCGCAGAGTATCTCTCCTCCTCAGTCTTGTATTCAATGTGTGTGAGTTGTTGCTGCTTCTGCTGCACTTCATTAGCTTATTCTCACGCAAATTTAAAATATTATGGCTTAAAACCATGTTTCTCTTTAAAGTTTCCTTCATAGTGACATTGGTGGAAATAAGTGGGGTGTAGACAGGGCATGTTTGGGCTTGACTGAGAGAAGAGAGAGCAAGGGAGGCATGTTCAGGGCTTCAGGGGAAGGCCCTGTGGGTGGTCCGCATAGGTCCGCGTGAGGGCAGCGACCTGTGAAGGCTGCGTGGGCTGGACTGTGAGTGAAGACACATGTGCGGCTGCAGGATGTTTGGCTGGATTCCTGCCTGGCCACCCTGTGGGGGACTTAAAGGGGGGTGTAAGATGGAGGAGAGCTGGGAGTTGCTCAAATTCTTGGAGCAATCTGCCGCCAGGATTGGGGAAGCCAGAGTGACCTGCCGGTGTTAGAGAAGTGGGCAATTCATGGCCTGGGATTAGGTGAACAGAAGGCCACGGGGATCCTTCACTCACACTCTTGCTTTCTTGTTAGAATCTGCTTTTTACTTTTCCTGAACTTCTGAACTTGGATTAGGAAGCAGTTGGCCGGCTTCTTGAGAAAGAAAGGGATCAAAACAAGTGAGTCCCAGAGAGAAAGAAATCTTGGGGTAATCATGGGAAAGGAAAACATGGACAGAGGAAGTTGGTCGTGAAAGAGACTATTAGATTATTAGAATAAAAAGGCCATATGTAGATATAGAGTGTTGGGTAATGTGGGGTGGGGATAAAATATATAAATACATAAGAATATGAAGAAGAAAATGCTTAACATTAATAGGGTGGGGTAAACTTTCAGGTCAGAGACCTTGCCTGACACATAGGTCGTTTGCAATGAGTGTTCACTGAATGACTAAATGGAAAACTACTGTTAGAGAAAAAATGAACTAGTAAAAAGTCACCCATCAATCAGGATTTTAATTCACAAAGATTTTGTAAATGTTTTTAAAGTTAAAAGAGCTCCTACATTGATTCATTGGTTCAATGAGCATGTGCGCCTACTATGTGCTAGTCAGAGGGACTGGAAAATCATCTACCCCACTTCTCTGTATGTAAATATGAGAAAACAGGCATGATCTTCCTACACCTCAGGAACCTTGAGGCAGAGCTAAGATCAGAACCCAGATATCCTGAATCATAGACTTTTGCATGTCCCACTAGGTCATGTTCCTTCTAGGGGTTAAGTTCACTGGAGATCCCTGTGCCCACATGTGCCCATATAACCCTGTGTGGCAAACACACAGGGGACACCCTTCAGAAAAGGGTGCACCCTTCAGAAATAACAACTTCACATGAATGAGTGCCATCTTTTGGAAAGGGTGTTTTTTCAAAAAATATAATTTCATACCAAGACAAGTCATACAAGTGTATCACAGGTAAGAGAATCATATCTTCCCAAATTCCTATCAGGATGACCTGATCTAAAAATGTAAGAAAAATAAATAAAGGAAGTGTATAATAATGCTGAAAATTCTAACAGTACAATTTTAGTCACAGAAAATGTTGTCCCATGCTAAAGAAGTTTGAAAATTGACAACTGGATAATGCACATATTTCATTATTACTTTAGCCTGCTCTGGAGTAACTGAGAAATATTTTTGTCTGTTTAGCACATGTAACCCCAAAGGAGACAAGTTGCTGTATACCTTAAGGTCATTCAATTTCTTTCACTCTTATTCAGTAATTGCAAGATAGTCTCTGCTCTAAAATTTTTTTTTCAGGTAGACATTTCTATCAAAAAGTTCTTTTTCAGCCGGGCATGGTTGCTTATTCCTGTAATCCCAGTATTTTGGGAAACTGAGGTGGGCAGATTGCCTGAGCTCAGGAGCTCGAGACCAGCCTGGGCAACATGGCGAAACCCTGTCTCTACCAAAAATACAAAAACTGCATGTCTGTGTCCCAGCTACTTAGGAGGCTGAGGTGGGATAATCACTTGGGCCCAAGAGGTCAATGATGCAGTGAGCCAAGATCACATCACTACACTCCAGCCTGTGTGACAGAGGGAGACCTTGTCTCAAAAAAAAAAAAAAAAAAAAAAAGGTACTTTTCCAACTAGTCCAAGTGAGTATCATGGTCTACCTGGTGGTTATCTTTTTTCTAGGTAAATTAATAAATTGGCAATTTGGCTTATGAATACTTTGCAGTTTGGTTAGTGTGAATAAACTCCTCAGAGAGAACTGAACATCCTATTTCAGAATTTATAAAAGTAAGTCATATAATTTCTTCTTTAGTGTACGACTGTGGTGTAATGGTATATGTGTTCCCATGTTCTGTGTACTGAAATTCTGAACCCATGGAGACCTCATTGATACACTAACGTTGAATGGCACTCCTTCTAAAATATCCATCTACCAGGTCTGTTTTATTCATCTTATTTGTATCATCTTGTAACTAGATATTAATTGAAAATAAACAAATGGATATATCCTTTGTATATTTTTTGTTGCAGAGAGAAGAGAATAAGAAAACTCATCTACAGTGAAGTTTCTGTGTTTTCAGGGAACGTCTCAGCCTAATACAGATCCAGGCACTTCCAGAGGACAGACAGCATAGAACAAATAAAGTGTCTTTATGTAAGTATCAAATGAGCCACAGGGGGAGAAAATATGGCACCCCTGGGGTTTTGGCTTCTTTCTTGTAGCCTCACCTTCAGAAATCCAGAAAAAGAGTTCAACTCCTTAAGAAACTTAAAAGCACATAATCCAGAAAGGGAAGAAACCTGTGGAGGTTAAGGGAGACAGAGAATGGGACATACTGCATGAGGTTAGCAGGGAGGAAGAATTCTGGGTAGCTGACCCAGAGTACTTCAATTTGAGCCGGGTTTGGCCTGCTCTAGTTAAGTTGAAGTGCAAGTACACAAGGCTCGTTGTTTTGTGGGAATTAAAAAAGTTCTGATAGGCAAGAGATGGGAATAGGTCCTCTTCACCCTCTTCAGCAAGGTAGCCATCAGAGCAGAGCAGAGGAGTAGCCAAGGTGGGAACACTGGAGACCTCATAACCAAGAGGCTAAGCTGTTCATGCAGGAGGTGTCCATAGGATGGAGATTGAGAACACGGAGATTGGTTTTGGACATTCAGGAGAGTCTTTTTTTTTTTTTTTTAATTGACAAGGGAGTGTTTGAATCCATTCTGGGAAGGCTTCCCACACTGGACTAGGGGGATTTGAGAAAGGTGGTTTAGTTAGAGTTTTAGCAAATTTGTTGATCTGTGCTGAGTCATATTTTAAAAAACTGTTATCACCTGTAATGGGTTTTATAGTGTCCTCCCAAAATTTACATCCACCTGGAACCCCAGAATGTGACCTTATTTGAAAATAGGGTCTTTGCAGATGTAATTAGTTAAGGTTCTAAGATAAAATAATCCTGAATTTAGGGTGGGCCCTAAATTTAAAGCCTGGTGCCTTTGCAGGGAAAAAGAGAGGGAGATTTGGACACATACAGAGGCACAGGGGAAGAAGGCCATGTGGAGATGAAGACAGAAGTTAGAGTGATGCAGCTCCAAGCCAAGGTATGCCACGGGGTGCCAGAAGCCACCGGAAACTGGAGGAAGACATGGAACAGATTCTCCCTCAGAACCTCCAGAAAGAATAACCCTGTTAATGCTCTGATTTCATACTTCTGGCCTCCAGATGCAGAGAATCAACAGTTGTTTTAAGCCACCGAGTTTGTGGTGATTTGTTACAGCAGCCCTAGGAAGCTAATATATAACCCATAGTCCTCAATTTCAGACCCAGCCTCAGGTGGCCTGTGGAAATATGGGCTGCATGTTTAATTATTTAGCAATTGAGTAGAGATTAATTTTCATTCCGCCTCAATTCTTTTCTTCTTGAATGCTCCATATACGTAAGCAAATCCACATGGATAAGTGCTCATGATAGACTCAGGGGTCAGGGGGAATCATATGAAATGCTCAAATCAGTTTTTTCATTCTCTGATTAATCTAGAGATGATGTACTTAAATTGCTCCATTTTAAATCAATATATTTTAAAATCTCCATCATTTTTGCAATTTCTCTTATAAGAAAATATTTAGACTATCAGATAGAGTTCATTTTAATAAGTTATATAAATTCCATGGTGGAATGGAACACTGGAAAAGTGGCAGCCACATATATTACTTTTATTTCCAAAAGAGATAGGTTTTAACTACAGAATTGCAAGTCCACAAAACCTGGAGTTGCAGCAAAGTTAGGACCATGGGACCTTTTTTGTAAAAGACGTGAATGATGGGTTCAAGGCAGCTATTCAGCTCAGAAAACTTGTGTTCTCATTCTCCCTGTTCTTTGCCTACTGTCCTCCTCCTCATCAAACATACGGATGAATGACACTACAAAGGAAGCCTCTTGTTGAACAACACAGATTGATCAACATTGAAGAGACTTTGACCAATGTCTCTTTTATCTCAACCTTTAACTCAGTTTCTGCTCTACCACTGACTTCTTTCAATTTGATTCTTAAATTAGGCCAGATGCTTAAAATTTGGGGGTTCCCTGTGCCTTCCTCCAGGAGTAAATCCCAACAACCTGAAAACTTGCCCATTTTCTTTTGTCTGTGTGTGTGTAAAATAATATGGCTCTGAAATAGTAGGATTTAATGCTACTTATTTTCTCTTCTCTTGTATTTCTCTCCTTCGTTGCTCTCTTACCTCTTGGGATTCTGCCTGTTTATTCTCTTCCACCTCCTCAGCATGTACATAGTTTTTATTTTCCACCCCTGGCAGAGGTTTGTGGGTCAACTGTGAAATGCAGAGGCATTGGTTAAAGTGCCCAGCCCAGGTTCTTATGATTATTACTGCTCTGCTAACTTTGGAAAACAGCCGGAGATATGGAATAAAACAATAAATGAGAAGGTAGCATGTGCACTTTTAAAAGTGTATGCAAGAAAAGGGATTACAAATGAAAATAAATTACATCAAAGAAAAAACAAGCAAAAACAACAATAAAAAGAACAAATGATTGGTACTCAAGTCCAGTGAGTTTATGTTAAGAAGAGAAAGTGGATTATTTGGTAGAAGAATGGAGATAAAAGTGAAAGGAATTAGTAAAATAAAAACAGGGAATCTGAAGGAGAGAAAAGGGAAGGTAGAGGCTATAGAAAGAGAGAAAACAAATGAAATAGTGAGAAAAGGTTACCCCTGTACGCTGTTGGTGGGAATGCAAATTAGTACAACTACTATGGAGAGCAGTTTGGAGGTTCCTCAAAAACCTAAAAATTGAGCTACCATATGATTCAGAAATCCCACTGCTGGGTATACACCCAAAAGAAAGAAAATCAGTATATCAAAGAGATATCTGCACTCCTATATTTGTTGCAGTAATGTTTACAATAGCTAAGATATGGAATCATATCTGTTTATCAACAGATGAATGGATAAAGAAAATGTGATATATATACACAATGAAGTACTATTCAGCCATAAGAAAAGAATGAAATCCAATCATTTGCAGCAACATGGATGGAACTGGAGATCATTACCTTAAGTGAAATAAGCCAGGCACAGAAAGACAAACATCTCATGTTTTCACTTATTTGTGGGATCTGAAAATCAAATCAATTGAACTAGAGAGTAGAAAGATAGTTAACAGAGACTGGGAAGGGTTGTGGGGGTTGGAGGGAAGGTGGGGATGGTTAATGGGTACAAAAAATGAAAAGGAGAAGTAAGACCTACCATTTGACAGCACAATAGGGTGACTATAGTCAATAATAACTTAATTGCATATTTCAAAATAACTTAAAGAATGTAATTGGATTGTTTGTAACTCAAAGGATAAATACTTGAGGGGATGTGGATACCTCATTCTCCATGATGTGCTTATTTCACATTGCATGTCTGTATCAAAACATCTTGTGCACCCCGTATATATATATACACCTACTATGTACCCACAAAAATTTTAAAAATAATTTAAAAATTAAAAAAAAAGAAATAGTGACAGAATAAGAAAGAAAAAGTAAAGAAAGAAGAAATATCAGTACAATGCATAAGAATAAGGACAGAAAATAATAAGAGAATAATTGAAGATGACGCAGGTAAATTTCAGGAAAGGTATATCTGGCCATTGCTTTCTAGTGAAAAGATTCTAATAATTATGACAGTTTCTATGTTTCCATTTGGCAGTCAGTATAATAGAGTGGAAAAACCTTTGGTTTGAAAGAACTGTATTCTAGTCATGTTTGTCACTGTCTAGTCAAATGATCACAGACAGATCATTTAACCCTTCTGTTTTCTTCCCAAGATAAAATAAAAACATATTTATGGCTTTTTTTGCTTTTTAAGAAGCTATGACTTTACATATTTCTGAATACATTTTAGTTAAAATGATTAATCAAAGTCAATATGGAAATTTTATTTTTAAATCCTTATATTTATTCTAATATTTGTGCATTTACTGCAAATTAGTCATATTTTAATTTTCTTGTTTATTCTTTTTTATATTACCCCAGTAGAAAGTGTTAACACATGAAAGTAGGTAGAACAACTGGTCATGCTTAATGTAACTGGATTTGTGACAAAAAAAGAATGCACTAAATTATTTTTAAAATGTTAGTTCAAGATGTTTCATTTAAATAGTTTCTTGAATTCCTGAGATGTATGTTCTTTTGAAGTGTAAAAGACTCAGTGAAGATCATAGGTTCAAGGCCTGGCCCTGATGTGATTGAAAGACTATATGCTTTTGGGTTCAAATAAGAGAAAATCCAACTAAATAGTGCCTTATACCTGTAATATGCCTGGAAGCTGGCAGTTGCTTATATAGCCTCAGCAATAAAATGGGATCATCCAGTGGAACTGGAGGATATTATGTTAAGGGAAATAAGCCAGGCACCAAAAGACAAACTTCACATATTCTCATTCATTTGTGGGAGCTACAAATGAAAACAATTGAACTGATGGAGATAGAGAGTAGAATGATGGTTACCAGAGGCTGGGGAGGGTAGTGGAGAGTAGGGGTGGTTAATGTGTACAGAAATATAGTTAGATAGAATGAATAAAATCTAGTATTTGATAGCACAACAGGGTGACTACAGTCAACAATAATTTACTGTACATTTGAAAATAACTGAGGATAACTAGAATGTTTGTAACACAAAGAAATGATAAATGCCTGAGGTGATGGATACCCCATTTACCCTGATGTGATTCCTACACATTGTATGCATGTATCAAAATATCTCATGTACCCCATAAATATATACACCTTCAGTGTACCCATAAAAATTAAAAATTAAAAAGTTTTAAAAAATGGAATCATCAAGGAACCTGACTCTTTTCATCCTTCAACTTTGTCATCCTCAGTGGGCTTTTCATATTTTCTTTTCTTTTTTTTTTTTTTTTTTTGAGATGGAGTCTTGCTCTGTCACCAAGGCTAGAGTGCAGTAGCGCAATCTTGACTCACTGCAGCCTCACCTCCTAGTTCAAGTGATCCTCCCACCTCAGCCTCCCAAGTAGCTGGGATTACAGGTGCCTGCCACCATGCCCAGCTAATTTTTGTACTTTTAGTAGAGATGGGGTTTCACCGTGTTGGCCAGGCTGGTCTTAAACTCCCACCCTCAACTGATCTACTCACCTCAGCCTCCCAGAGTGCTGGAATTACAGGAGTGAGCCACCACTTCCGGGCTCATATTTTCATAGTTGCACTTGTTCCGTGGTTGCAAGATAACTGCCACATCACCAGGTTTAAATCTTCACATCAACATCACA